>NC_000006.12:97949577-98101093 GCF_000001405.40 Homo sapiens
CATGATCTCGGCTCACTGCAACCTCCACCTCCCGGGTACAAGAGATTCTCCTGCCTCAAGTTCCTGAGTAGCTGGGATTACAGGCATGCACCAACATACCCAGTTAATTTTTGTATTTTTAGAAGAGATGAGGTTTCACATTGTTGGCCAGGCTGGTCTCGAACTCCTGACCTCAGGTGACCCATCCACCTGGGCCTCCCAAAGTGCTGGGATTACAGGTGTGAGTCACTACGCCCAGCCTATTTTCATTCTTAATTTTATGGTTAGTTTGTGTTATAGGGAGAAAACATACTCTGCTATAGAGAAGCAGGGGGAGAAAAATAACTTCAAAGTTTGTGCTGCCATGAACTTCCTTCACAGACTTACCTCTGACTTTAGCTATCATTATTATAAAAAGTTCTGGTGGTGGGTGGTGGGTAGAGAGGAGGTGGTGCTTACAACATTTATAAATTAATACACTAAATCTCATTTACTATAAATCTGTTTGTCTCACAATACTTTTAAATGCATTTTAAATCACAGTAGCTATGACTTCCCGAAGCATAGTATTTGAATCTAATATCTGCTACCAAGGAATGTAGGCAACATTTTGGGCTTGATATTGGAGTTTGACCTGAGTAATGCTAAACCATAGCTTCCTGGGCATTGTTACACATTGGAAATATTTCTCTGAGGCACTTTGTGAGCCAGGTTGGTAAGTAGGGTCAGGAATAAAACTATTGGAGAATAATTCTAAATCTTTTCCAATACTCATGTTCCCCTTAAATCTCTTGCAGTCTTCTCAATCTTCAAGAATCATTTTCCAGAAGTTTTCTGATGACTTGTTATTGGAATACTTAAAAACAATACCCCTAGGTTTTCTTCAGAGAATCACCACATTTACAGTTCTACTCTGAAAGTGTTTATCTGTAGAATTACCCATGAGTTCATCTCTTAGGTTAGTTCCACCTTTCACCTCAATCAAGGAAAATCCATCTGTTAGGGCATAATCCAAAATCCATACTTGCCAGAGAGGTGCTGCCCAGCCACCTTATCCTGTTCAGTGGAATCTGAAATTTCATCTTTCGACAGCTAAGAATTTGAAAGATAGACACGTTTTTTCTGCCTCCTATAACTAATTTTTTAAGCCAGTTGACCAGAGATTGAAGAGAAGCAAGGTTTCTTCCATTCAAAAAAGCACTCTAAAGGAATGCACTCTATAAAATCAGATTCACTTAAACGTTTTTGGCAAATTCAAACAAATAGGCAGACAGAGTCTTGTTCCAAGAGGACAACATTTAACTAAGATTATTGTAAAAGATATATTTATTCCTAAACAAAATGTTTAAAAAAATTATGAATAAATAGATATAGGAAGATAGCTATTGAAAAGTCTAGGCATTACTTTTGATTTTTTTTTCAAAATAGTGTAAATTTACTGAATTTTGTGGATAAAATTGGTGCTGAACAGTTAAATATTTTTAATATACTTTCTTTTTCAGAGCAGTTTTAAGTTCATTAAAAAATTGCAAAGAAGATGCAGAGCTTTCCCATAAACCGTGTACTCCTACATATGTGTAGTCTCCCCAGCTATCAACATCCCACACTAGAATGGTACATTTGGTACAGTCAATGAACTGACATCAACACATCATTATCTCCCAAAATCCATAGTTTACTGTTAGTGTTGTATATTCTATCATTTTGGGGGAGTGTGTAATGACAAGAATCTACCATTATAGTATTGTACAGAGCAGTTTTACTGCCCTAAAAATCCTCTCTCTTCCACCTATTCATCACTGCAGCCCAAACCCATGGAAACCATTGATCTTTTCACTGTCAGTAGTTTTGCCTTTTCCAGACTATCCTTATAATTGGAATTATAAGGACAGTAGTCTTTTCAGATTGGCTTGTTTCACTTAGTATTTACTATGTAAGGTTTTTCCATTTTTTTTTCATGGCATTGTAAGCTAACTTTTTCTTAGTGCTGAGTAATATGTTATTGTCCATATGTACCACAGTTTGTTTGTCCATTCACCCATGGAAGGACATGTTGGTTGCTTCCAAGGTTTGGCAATTATGACTAAAACTGCTATAAACATCTGTGTGCAGATTTTTGTGTGGATAAAAGTTTTCAGTTCATTTAGGCAAACATCAAGGTGCATGATTACTGGATCATTTGGTAATAATATGTTTAGTTCTATAAGAAACTGCCAAATTGTCTTCCAAACTGGCTTTACAATTTTTCATTTCTGTCAGCAAAGTATGAGAATTCCCATTGCTTCACATCCTTACCAGCATTTTGTACTGTTAGTGATTTGCATTTTAGCCATTTTAATAGATCTGTAGATCATGGTTATCATTAATGTTTTAATTTGCAATTCCCTAAAGATTATGATGTAAAGCATCTGACCTTATTTAACATCTGTATATCTTAGGTGAGCTATCCGTTCAGGGCTTTTTAATTGGGTTGTTTCCTTATTGTTGAGTTTTAAGAGTTCTCTGTATATTTTATTCAACAGCTGTTTTCATTTTAAATCCTAATTGATCAGTGTTTACATTTTAAATCCCAATTGATTATTTGTTTTCATTGATCAATTATTTCCATTTTAAATCCCAGTTGATCATTTCTGTTATATAGGCAAGCAACAGTCTTTTGTATAGTAGCCTTTTATCCAGCAATCTTGCTGTAATTGCTTATTATTAATAGTTCCAGTAGGGACTTTTTGCCAATTCTTTTGGATTTCCTATGTAAACTGTCATGTCATCTGTGAACAAAGGCAGTTTTATTTATTCTTTGCCTATATGTATACATTTATTTTCTTGTCTTGTCTTATTGAATTACTAGGATTTCCAGTATGAGGTTAAGAAGCAGTGGTGAAAGGGGACATTCTCTTCTTGTTCTTTTTTATTTGTTTGATGTTTTTTGAAACAAGGTCTCACTCTGTCACCCAGGCTGGAGTGCAGTGGTGCAATAATGGCTCACTGCAATCTCCACCTCCTGGGACCAAGAAATCCTCCTACATCAGTCTCCTGAGTAGGTGGGACCATAGTCATCTACTATCATGCCAAACTGATTTAAAAAAAAAAAAAAAAAAAAAAAAAAATATATATATATATATATATATATATATATATATATATATATATCTCCATATGTACCACAGTTTGTTCATCTATTCACCCATGGTGAATGGATTATATATATATGTGTATTATATATATATGTATGTATTTAATTTATATATATATATATGTATGTATGTATATATTTTAGAGAGATGATCTCCCTAAGTTGCCCAGGCTGCTCTCAAACTCCTGGGCTCAAGAAATCCTCTTGCCTTGGCTTCCCAAAGTGCTGGGGTTACAGGCATGAGCCACCACACCCTGCCTTTGCCTCACTCTTGATCTCAGAAGTATAACTTCAAGTTTCTCACCATTAAATATGATGTTAGCTATACAGGTTTATACTTTTTTCAATTAACCTAAGTTCCCTCTCTTCCCAGTTTGCTGTGAGTTTTTATCATGAATGGGTGTTGGTTTTATCAAATGCATTTTCTATATCTATTGACAGGATCATGTGATCTTTCCTCTTTAGCTTGTTGATGTGATGGAGTAAATTAATTGATTTTTTGAATGTTGAACTAGCCTTGCATAGCTGGGATAAATTTCACTTGTTCTAGGTGTAAAATTCTTATATGCTTTTGAATTTGTTCTACTATTTTTTAAAGGATTTTTGCATCTATATTCATGAGAGATATTGGTTTATAGTTTTATTTTCTTGTAATGTCATTGTCTGGTTTTGGTATTAACTTATATAATGCTGACCTCAAGGAATGAATTAGAAAGTATTTCCTCTGTGTCTATCTTATGGAGTAGACTGTAGACAATGGTGTAACTTATTCTTTAGTAAAATTCACTAGTGATCCCATCTGGGCCTGGTGCTCTTTGGGATGTTATTAATTATTTGTTAAATTTTTAAAATAGATTGAAGCCTATTCAGACCTATTTTTTTCTTGCATGAGTTTTGGCCATTTGTGTCTTTCAAAAATTTGCTCCATTTTTTCTAGATTATGAACTTTGTGGGTATAGATTTGTTCAAGATATTCTTGTACCATACATTTAATATCCATGAAATATGTAGTAATGACCCCTCCGTATTTCTGCTATTATTAATTTGTGTCCTTTCTCTTTTTTTCTTACTTAGCCTGGATAGAGGCTTATTGATTTTCTTGATCTTTTCAAATAATCAGCTTTTGGTTTTGTTGATTTTCACTATTAATTTCTTATTGTCAGTTTCACTGATTTCTGCTCAAATTTTTATTATTTTCTTCTATTTATTTTGAAATTAATTTGCTTTTCTTTTTCTGGTTTGTTATACTAAAAGCTTAGATTATTAATTTTAAATCTTTCTTCTTTTCTAGCATATGCATTTAGTGCTATAAATATCCCTCTAATCACTGCTTTGCTGCATCCCACAAAGTTTGATAACTTATGTTTTCATTTAGTTTAAGATATTTTAAAATTTCTTTTGAGATTTCTTCTTTGACTCGTGTGTCAACTTTGATGACAAGTATGTCATTTAATCTCCAAATAATTTGGAATTCTCTTGCTATCTTTCTGTTATTGATTTCCAGTTTAATCCATTGTGGTCTAAAAGCAGACGTTTTATGATTTATATTCTTTTAAATTTGTTAAAGTGTGTTTTATGACCCGGAATATGGTCTGTCTTGGTGCATGTTTCCTGTGAGCCTGAGAAGAATGTGTAATTTGCTGTTGTTGGGTAAAGTGATCTATAGATGTCAAGTAATAGGTTGGTGCAAAAGTAAATGCATTTTTTGCCATTATTTTTAATGACAAAATCCACATTTACTTTTGCACCTACCTAAATATATCTAGTTTCTTGATGGTGCTGTTGAAGTCAACCATGTTCTTACTGATTTTCTGCCTGCTAGATCTGTACATTTCTGGTAGTGTTAAAACTCCAGCTATGATAGTAGATTCATCTATTTCTCCTTGCTTGTCTATTAGTTTTTGCGTCATATTTTGACACTCTGTTGTTAGGCTCATACACATTGAAGATTGGTATATCTTTTTGAGGAATTGACCCCTTTATTATTATGTGTTGTCCCTGTTTATCACTGATAACCTTCCTTGTTATGATGTCTGCTCTGTCTTAAATACATAAATTTCAGACAGAGCAGACATCATAACAAGCTAATCCCGCTTTCTTTTGATTAATGTTAGCATGGTATATTTTTCTCCATCTATTAACTTTTAACCTGTATGTGTCTTTATATTTAAAGGGTTTTTTTTGTTGTTGTTGTTGTTTTGTTTTGTTTTTGTAGAAAACATACAGTTGGGTCTGTTTTTTTTTTTTGTATACAATCTGACAATCTCTGTTTGTTGACTAGTGTGTTTACACCATTGATTGATTTTTAAGTGATTATGATGTAATTTAATTAATATCTATAATGTTTGTTACTATTTTGTATTCATTGCCCTAGTTCTTTGCTCCAATTTTTCACTCACTCTTTTTCTGCCTTTTGTGGTTTTATTTAAACGTTTTATATGATTCAATTTTTCTCCCCTTTTTTAGCATATTATTTGTACCTCTTTTTAAACTTTTAGTGGATTTCCTAGAGTTTGAAATATAAATTTACCACTAAGGAAAGCTTATGTTCAAATAGCAGTAGACCACTACAAGGGTCATGCAAATACCTTCTAATAACAAAATAATACCACTTTCTTCTTCCTATCTTATATGTCATTGCTGTCTCATTTCATTTATACATAAGTATATGTGTGTGTGTGTGTGTACACATACTCATAATCATACATAATCAAATACATTGATACTACTTTGAACAAACTCTTATCTATTAGATCAATTAAGAATAAGAAGGCCAGGTATGGTGGCTCATGGCTGTAATCCCAGCATTTTGGGAGACCGAGCAGGAGGATCCCTTGAGCCCAGGAGTTTGGGACCACTCCTGGCAACATAGAGAGACCCCATCTCTACAAAAAAATTTAAAAATTAATCAGGCACGGTGGTCTGACTACTTGGTCCCGACTACTTGGGAGGCTGAGATGGGAGTATTACTTGGTCCAAGGAGGTTGAGGCTGCAATGAGCTTTGATTATACCACTGCATTCCAGCCTGAACAACAGAGCAAGGCCCTGTCTCAAAAAAAAAAAAAAAAAAGAAAAGAAAAAGAAGTAAAAATACAAAATTTTTTATTTTACCTTCACTTGTTCCTTCTCTGATGCTCTATGTTTCTTTATGTTGATTTGAGTTTTTGAGCTATATCATTTCCCTTCTTTCTGAAGCATTTCTTTTAGCATTTCTTACAAGGTATGTCTACTGCCAACACAGTCCCTCAATTTCTGTTTGTCTCAGAATCTTTATTTCTTCCTGACCTTTGAAGGATCATTTTGCAGGGTAAAGATTTCTAGATTGGTGGTTTCCTTTTCCCAATGCTTTCAATATCCCATTCCATTCTCTTCTTGCTTGCATGTTTCTGAGAAGTTGGATGTTATTCTTATCTTTTCTATAGGTAAAGTATATGTTTCCTGCATCTTTCAAAGTTTTTTTTCTTCATCTTTTATTATCTGAAGTTTTCATATGATATTCCTGGCATTTATCCTGCTTGGTGTTAGCTTCCTGGATCTGAGGTTTGCTGTCTGACATTAATTGGGGGACAACTCTCAGTCACCATTTCCTCAAATGTTGTTCATGTTCTTTTCTCTTTCTTCTTCTTTTGGTGTTCCTGTTATACATATTTACATGTTTTGTAGCTGCCCCATGGTTCTGAAATATTATTTTCTGGATTTTCTTCTCACTCTTTTTGTTCTTTGCTTTTTAGTTTTGGACATTTTTATTGAAATATTCTCAAGTTCAGAGATTCTTTTCTTAGCCATAGCCTTTCTACTAATAAGCCCATCAAAGGCATTCATCATTTCTATTACAGTGCTTTTAATCTCCAGCATTTCTTTTCCCCCATTCTTACACAGAAGTTCCATTTTTCTGACTACATTGCACATCTGTTCTTGCATGCTGTCTTCTTTATCCAGAAGCCCTTAACATATTGATGATAGTACCTTTAAATTTCCAGTTTGATATTCCAACATCACTGCCATATCTAAGTGAGGTTCCAATACTTGCTCTGTCTCTTCAAGCTTTGTTTATTGCCTTTTGACATGCCTTGTAATTTTTTCTGAATAGCTAGACATGATGTATTGGGTAAAAGAAACTTCAGTACATAGGCATTTAGTAGTGTGGTAAGGTGTGGGAGGGGAAGTGTTCTATAGCTCTTTGGTTAGAGCTCAGTTTTTGTATTAACTTTTTAAATTATTATTATACTTTAAGTTCTAGGGTACATGTGCACAATGTGCAGGTTTGTTGCATAGGTGTACATGTGCCTTGTTGGTTTGCTGCACCCATCAACTCATCCTTTACATACCTAAAGAACTCAGTTTTTTAGTGTGTCTGGACTATGAACTGCACAAGTGCTTCTCAGCCTTAAATGGGATATGATGACTACAGTGGGCTAGAGTTGGATATTTCTCTTCCCTGGATTGATTGAGCTCTGAGAAAAACTCAGTAGTTTAGGCTCTGGTAAAATAGTTTCTTCTAAGGTCAGGATTTATTAAGAAAATAATGCTGTGGTATATTTCAAAAGGGTTACTTTTCTCCTACCCTGCCAGAAGCAACAGGGGTTTTTTGTCCAATATTGACCATGGAAACCTGGTCCAACTCCTGGAGGTAAAACTCACAAAACTCTGGGGACTCCTCTGTGACTAGATCCTCCAGAGTCGTTAACTCTCAAGCTTGTCCACACTAAGCCTCAAGTAATTCATCAATTATAGTTTAGGTTTTTCTATCCTGGCACTGGCTCCTGGGGACTTTCCTGCTTGTAGTCTTCTGCTTAGCTATGTTATGAATCTCTGTATTCACCTATCTGTCTCTCCAATTTTGGGTGCAGTGATTTGCCCCGTACCCTCACTTCTCTGATAGATACAAGAGTTATTGATTTTTCAGTTTGTTAAGTTCAGTTGTCAGTTTGTTGGGCTTTTTACTTGTTGTTAGGACTAAGTAACAACTTTCAAGCTCCTAACTTGCCGAACCAGAAATCAAAATCCCCAGGTAATTTATAATCTAGTTTTGTTGCCTCTAAAAATGGAATTAAAATTGAAGAGTATTTTTGAATTGTTAAATATAAACAATAATGTTCCTCTTTCATCCTGCAAATCCCTGAATAGTCCTTCTTAAAGCATATCGCCCTGTTTCATATGCTGGTTTCTTTTTGGAATTCTTTCGACTCTCTCCCTCAAAAGCTTATTTGAGATCAATGAGGCAGTTTGTTGATGATGACTAGCAGGAAGTTTGAATAGGTATACTGATAAAATTCTCACTCTTTCTTTGGAGTAAATTC
The DNA here is from genome assembly GCF_000001405.40 of Homo sapiens. Classification (NCBI taxonomy): domain Eukaryota; kingdom Metazoa; phylum Chordata; class Mammalia; order Primates; family Hominidae; genus Homo; species Homo sapiens. The sequence continues at coordinate 97,957,991 of NC_000006.12, forward strand.
TGTGTGTGTGTGTGTGTGTGTGTCCGGGTGGGGTGGGAATCCCTCTTGTATGAAATTTTCTACTCGCAGGATAACACTTTTTGTCGTTCTTTTATAATTTGTTGAAATATGTACTATTGGTTAATTCCACTTTCTAAATTTATGCTTATTTTAGGTTATTTAAATATTTTCAATAGATCACTTTCTAGTTTAATGCCTTTAATCCATTGAGGTGTATACACTGCCTAAAGATTTTGACAGAGGATTCTTTCGAGTGCTGATTCACCAGTCAGAAATTTCCATGGCTGGAGGCACTCCTGCCCTGCCTTTGCTCAGCTCTGGGCTTGCAGCTGTACTTGCTCTGCCCACTTGGCCAGCAGGCTGTGCTCGGCTTGTGCTACTGGCCGGATCTCAGGCCCGCCGAGGACACCCAGGCGCGCCGGCTACTGTGGCTGATTGGGCAGCTTCAGGCTCTGGCATAGGAGCTGGCTACATGCAAGGCTGCAGCTGGACCAGAATATACAGGTCTCAGTGAAGAGGGGACCCAAAGTGGGTAGCCCTACCCAAAGCTGGGTAGTCCCAACCTGTGACCATCTGAGGTTTTTATGGGCTCTGAATGGAGGAGTGCATGCCTGTTGGTCCATGGGCCTGGAAAAAGCACCACTCAATTGGCTAAAAGGCATTGAGGAAGTTCTCACTCCAGTCGGGGACTTTACCTGAAACCTGCAGCTTGGTTTTCAGGCTTTAATTTGTCAGGTATGGGGACCCACCCCTGTCTGCCTAGGAATTTGTCTGCCTCCTGCCGTTATCAATTTGTTTAATGAATGATACTCAGAAAATGAAAGATGTATATTTGGATAGCATCTTGTTTGGGACATGCTTTCTCCTTAAACCATTCTTCTGAGAGATTCTGCAGCCTAATGGTCAAAGAGCACATTTTCAGGAAGCAGACCTTTATTAACTGTTTTACAACTCAGTTTCCTCAACTCTAACATCAGCTGTGATGACTGGTATTTATAAAGAAATCCCTTTGGATCATGATATGAAATCATATTTGTAAAGTGTTTGAAACAGTGTATGACATGCAATGAGCGCTTAATGAATGCTAATTATCATTGACAGCAATAATATGGTAATACTGTAGTTGGTAAGAAATCACTGGTAAAACACTGAATTGTCCTGTGTCTTGGGCCTAGAAAGATTAAACTCTTAGGTATTGATTTATTCAACAAATATTTATTATGCATGAGACACTGTATTTCATGTTGGGGTATAAATAACTGAGATATAATTTGATTGTTTTAAAAGAGACATGTAAAATATACTCCAGGAGCATTGAGCAGGGATTAATTAATTCTGTATAGAAGAGTCACAGATGACTTCACAGAGGGGAAAGACACTGGAATTTTGTCTCTAGAGATATGCAGAGGTTGGCTAGGGAAAGAACGAGAAGATAAAAAGAGACATTCCTGGCAGAAGGCACAATGTGAGCAAGAGATTAAGGCATGAAAGTACCTGATGTATTAAGGAAGTAATGGATATATAGCTTTTCCTAACTGGATGGCAGAGTATACAGGAGGAATGGGAAGCAATGAGTCTGAAAAGTCAGTTGAAGATGTTAAAAGAACTCTTAATGTCTTGCCAAAGAGTTTATGCTTATGCTGAATACATTAGTGAGCTAATTCAGAGTCCCATGTGTATCATTCTGCTGCTGTCATTCATTAACTTATTTGTTCATTCAACAGATGTTTATTAAATAGTTACTAAACGCTAGTCCCATTCTAGGCACTGGGAATAGAGCAGTAAGTAAAAGATAAAATGCCTTGTCCTCATAAACCTTACATTTTAGTTGCAGACAATAAGCAAATATACAATTATAGATGATAATACATGCTAATATGAAAAATAAATTGGGAACAGAGATAGGGAATGTTGAAAGGAAAGCTGCAGTTTCAGATATGATGGCCAAGGAGGGCATTGGTTAAAAGGTAACATGTGAGCCAAATTTGAAAGAGGAAGGAATATCATGTGGCTATTTGGTAGGAATGGCAAGTGCAAAAACCCCAAGACAGGAGTGTGCTTGCTATAGTCGAAGAAAAGCAAGGCAGCCAGTATAGCTGGGGCAGAGTAAGCAATGGGAGGAAGATATAAAAAGTAAAGCAGAAAGAGGAGTGGGGTTGGAAATAAAGATCATAATGGACTTTGTGGATTTGATTTCAGTCTGACAAATAATTTCATGATCTGACTTCTATTTAAAAGGTCACTCTGACTGTAGAGAGTAAGTGGTTTGTAGGAGAGGTAAAGGTCCAGAATGAGGCAGGATGGTTTGGACACTGCTGAAAACATCAGGCAAGAAGCGACAATTGCTTGAAGCAGAATAGTAGTGGTAGAAGAAGTGGCAAGAGGAAATGTTCTAGAAGGATTTCAGAGTATGAACCAATGGAATATCCTGACGGGTTCTCTTAAGTGTGAGGTATTTGTTAGAGAAATTATGAATGTTGGCTATCAGGTTTTCAGCCCCTTTGATGTTACTTCTTCTGCCCTTGCTACTGTCTTTCCTGCAGGACTCTGGACTTCAGCTTATTTTAAGTTTCTACCACCAGCCTCTTCTAGTCCTGTTCACTCAAGATTACTTCATGGAAGGACATGAGCTTCCTGGCTCCCCTCTATTCACAGCCTTAAACTTGAGTGTTTGACTGCTAATCAGTATTTGGAAACACGCTATGTATAATATAAATCAAAACAGATAAGTTATAAAGTTTACACATCCCAGTAATACTCGGTAAATTATACTTCATTTCCTCTGAGAAAGTAAATGAAGACTTATTAGGACTTCTGTACTTTTTTCCCTTGAAATAGTGTTCTCCTGTTTCTATTGGTGAAAGTCATATAACCTATCTCAAGAAGATAGGTTTTTCTCTCCTGATGGGATGCAATTCTGACAGAATAACAGTTTCAATTCTATTTACTAAGGGGCATGTTCATTTCTGTGGACCTCAACTGGGTAACTAACACACAAGGGCAAGTCCAAGTTTTATGGCTTCTGAAGCTTATACAATTTTGAGAGGACCCTTTAAGGAAACGACTTCACAGATTACACAGACAAGATTATTAGAGCTCCTTTCAGAACTTTGGAAGATATCTGTCACAAGTGAGGACCTAAAGCTTACATTTCAATAGCCACACACTCTTACCTCAGGGCCCTTGCACTGCTATTCTTACCAGATATCCACATGTTATTCTTTCCTCCTTCAAGTTTGGTTTATATGTCGCCTTTTAACCAATGCCTTCTTTGGCTATTATATCAAAAATTGCTGCTTTCCCTTCAAAGTTAACTGTCTCTGGTGATAGCCTTTCACTTATTCCCCACTTCACCCAGTAATAATCTTGTCTGGGCACTTCTTCGGAATATCTGCAAGCTTTAGGGCAGGAGAGTACTCTGATCTGATCTGATTGATGACTTGGAAAGAAAACTGACATGTAGTGTGAGGCTGTTTTGGGACCAGAGGCTGTAAATCAGGGTGATTCTTTAGAATTGCTTCCCTATCATTCTCCCATTTTAAACAAGCATCCCTTAACATGGAATTTCTTATGAAGCGTCATCTTTCCACGCAAGGAAAACTATTTCTAGTTACTCTCTTCAAATGAAAAATTGATATACTCTTTTCAATTTAGGCATGCTTTCTAATGCTTAAGGTTTCCAGTCTTTACACTTATTAAATGGACATATATGTAGTAAATATCCATGAATCAAACCACTATATGAGAAATTATATTTTATTTTTAGTGGAATCTTTATCTCTCTTTCACCTCCTGCCTTGTTCTTCCCTTCTCCTCCCTCCCTCCCTTCCTCACTCCCTCCCTCCCTCCCTTCCTTCCTTCCTTCTGCCTTGCTGTTTTGTAGCAAACAGTTACAGATTCTACAACACAGGAAAACATATAGGAGCAAATTAGTAGCTCTAAAAACCAAGTAAGGTCTTGCCTCCTATGAAACAATGACTCTTGAGGGTGTGTGAACTTTTGTGGTTTCCATCAAGAAATGATGCTGAGACTCTTCATCTGTATGCACCACTGAAAAATATTTTTACTATTGATTTTCCTTCAGCATTGATCTACCACCCGATGCCATCAATAATGAGGTTTGTCAGCTGATATCTTAGGCTGTCTGTATTTTTTTTTTTTTCTGGTGGAAGAGGAGCTAGTAGTAAAGCAGGAAGAAAGGTTGATAACTTGAACTTGGGAATTTGCAACCAACCCATCAACTTCACTGAGTCACTACTCCCAGCCCTTCTTCCTCTCCCATTTTATTTCTCTTATCACTTTATTACTTGATAGGAAGTCTTCCATCGGATTGGACTCCTGAGTATTGTTATTTTTCAGTTTGGTATGCAATGGAATGCAAATTAAATGAGACAATTATCTGTGGCAAAGTGTTTTCTTGATGCTGGAAGAATGCTTTTTCTTTTGCTTCTCTTAAAAAATCTGAAGGCATCTAAAAAGCTGATTCAACTAAATACTTCGTGAGAAACCAATTCTGTAAACTATGCCACTTTCATTTATTGAAGTTAGCCCATGTTTGGGCCTAAAGGGAGAATTTTCTGAAACACATGTCTATTTCACTGTGGCAGAATGCTTCCTTTTACAAAGCAATAATAAGGGGAAAAAGTAGAAAGTAGATAGTCAGCATTCCCCTATCCCTTGTAAAATAAAATGAAAATGCAGATACCCTTCTGTCAAGGTCCTGATCTTGGATAAAATTATATACCAAAATTTGGCAAAGCATGTTTTGGGAGATACATATTCATTATTATGCATGAACTTAACTAAGTATTGATTATTCTAAGTGGTACAGATGGAAACAGCCATTTCTCTGGATTCAGGATATTGAATTATGAGAGGTGAGGGGAAAAGTTCTCACTGACAGGTCAAGATAAAATTATTTAGAAACAAGATAGGAAAGCACATAATATTATGTATGATATATCTGATTGTTTTTGCCTCCATACATTTTTAAATATTTCTAATCATAATAGATGACTTTTATTAAAAACATAGGTTAGACATAAAGAATTTCTAGTATTTTACCCTTTTATTAGAGATGAATATAGCCACCTATTTAAATTAATTATATGTATTAATATCAAAGGATTTTTCAACATGTTCATCCTATTTTTCAATGAGTTATAAATGTAGCAACTGAACATTTGTTGGAACTTTGTGTGTCTATAAAACACAAGTAATTTTATATGTAGTATACATTTGCAGTACCCTGTGTGAAAGATAAGCCCTGGAGTTGGCCAGCATATAAACTGGACAGTTACATCCTGACGTTCTGATATACTTGGAAGCAGGATTGGTGAGTCATAGGATACACAAATATTTCATTACAGACTGGTAGATTGCTCTATAAATCAGCATTTGCTCTCCTACTAGCACTTATCCTACTCTCTAGTTTTTGCCAGCATTCAATGTTATCTTTCTGGTTCTTGCCATTCGTGTAAGCCTGCGCTATATGGTCCTCTCTTATCTGAAGTTACTCATGCAAGAGCCTAACCACCTTTTATCTCCTGCAGTATTTCTCACAGTTTTCTCATTGGGTTCCAGATGTACCACCTTTCCTGTACCTCCTGAGATATCTACTGGGTTGGGTTTAGAGAACGAAAACTGAGCTAATGAGCTGATGCCAGATCACGAATGTTTTGAAAACATGCATTGTCCTGAGTATGTGTGTGTGTGTGCGTCTGTGTGTATATCTTAATTTTATTCTAGCTGTGTTTTCACCTCCACTTCAGTTCTATTTCAGTTTGAGTCACCTGTTCTAAGTGTTCTGAATATATTCCCCCTTTTGCTGGACCCCCTTAGATGTGTTCTTTCTTTTATCTAGGTATTGGGCCTCAGGTTCAACTTCTGGGATGCAAGAAGCAACAGCAATCCCATAAGTATGAGAGGCCCAGGAGCCAAGTGGTTTACTAAGTAGTCATCTCTTCTCAAGAAAACAGGCAAGAGCTTCTGTACTCACTACATCTGGAAAGACTATGAGTCTCCCAGCCTCAACTGCAGCAAATATTTTGTTTACCTGGCCAACACCCTTCAGCTGTAGGGGGGCCAGTTTGATCAGCTAGCTGGTCCTTGCAGGGATGCTTATGGAGGGTACCATACCCAGTCTCTCACGGTTCACAGAATGCCTAAGGCCAAACGGCAGTCAGGAAGAAAGAACATTTAAGACAGAAAGAAGATGCAATAGAGCCAAATGCTGCAAGAATTGCTTAAAAAAGCAATCGGAAAACTGAGAGAAAAAAATCCTTGCATTTTGGATGTAATTTATGGCTTTTTCCCATAGTGATGTCATAAAATTTCAGAGAAAAAGCAAGGAATGAGAGTAAGGATATAGAAACTACTACTGTAATATGGACTCTTTTTAATGGAATTTCTGATAAAAATGATATGCAGGTATAAAAAATCCAGATAAGTAGATGTAGACACAGGGTCAGGGGTCAAGGGATGTTTTAAATTTCGTTAATGGGCAATCTTGAATGTGTTTCAGTAGAGTATGAGGCAGGATCATCAGCTAAGAGAAATGAAAGTTCGCAATGGTGCAAGGGCAGTGATGTGCTGAAGCTTACAGGAGCTAATCGCTGAGTTTTCAAGAATTTTGAGAGCTAGTTGTTAAACTTGGCTATTATTAAAATGTAAATTACATAAATTTATAGTTAAATTATATTAAAGTGAAGGTAATAAATACTCAAGAGTCATGGTTTCCTAATTATTTTACTACCTTTCACTGTTAATTATACTCTTGAGATTATTTATATCTATTATGTCTGAGAACAGATACCAGGTTGTATTTGGTGGAAAGGCCATATGAAGGTATGCTACTTACCACACGTTTCTTCCCCACTCTGCATCCAGTGATGTCACGTTAGTAGTTTGGAATCAGCCATGGTTGGAAGCATTTACAGTTTGAAAATCAGTAAATGCTACAAATTTGGGCTTTTTTGTTTGTGTTGTTTTCAAAGGGCTGTTGATTGAACATTTACTAGCACACCACTAAGTAAAGCTTTTGAGGGTGATGGTGAATATTTTGAGTGGCCACTCAGGAATAGGAGATCACTGTTCTGACAGTTGGCCACTGACTGATAATGGAAGGTCAATGCCACTTGGACCAGGCTGAAGTTAGTAAATACGATTGTCAAAGTAATGTATCGCACAGGCAAGCCAGGTGTGAAAATAGCAAAAGTTTTGGGTTGATTGAATCCTCTGTGTGCAGAGTCTGGGGTGGAAGAATAGAAGTAATTGAACTGTAACACCTTGAAGTCTCAGCCAGTTATACAGAGTAGTGAGTTCAAGAGGAAGCTAATGTATTGGGAGAAAGGGATGGTAGTCTGGAACTAGAAACTTTAATGAGGTGAAGCCCAGATGTAGCTGAAATGATCCAGAGGAGGAGTGAATATGACGCAGAATTGTAATCAGAGTGGGACTTTGGAATTTGAGATTTCAGATAGAGCCATTGCCAGACCCTGAGTGTGATGGTGATTATGAGTTTGCTCAAGTTTACCATAAGGGTAGATATGGTGGGATAAGAAGTTGTCAAGGGTCTTAAATTTGGATTGTTGGAAGAGTTGATCAAATGAGCCGAAGATACCAAGGATGATGGCAGGAGTTGGGGTAGTAAACTGAGGACAATTTAGGAGTTGGAGTGGAGAGCTTCACTGAGCTGGATCTAATCCCTCTGGAGGTTTTCTGTGTCTAAGAATATTTTTCAGCAAGAATGTCTTGTGTGGCATTACATAAGTAGGGCTACTTTATCAGCCACTATCACTCATAGGCAATAGCTGCTCTGGGTATAGACAGTGTATTGGAATTTTACTGTAAAAATATTTTTAATGTTTTACAAAGTATAATTTGCTTAACACTCTCTATAATTTCTGATAAAACTGATATACTGTTGTGTTTATGGGTTGAGGACAGTGGCAGGATATCTTGCCTAAAGCATTATTTACTTTTTCTAACTCACTTGTTCCCTACTGCTTCAGGCCACTGCAGAGATTTTTTTCTTTTTCTCTTTTGCATGTTCATAAACAACTAAGGCAATACCTTATTTATTTTTCTCTGTTGAATTATTAAGTGTTTTCAAGTTGTTGGTACTGCAGCATATTTTCCAGAATTTATTTTAGTATTTATTATTGCTCACTTCTTTTACTATTCCCTCTAGATGCCATTTCCCTCTTCCACCTTTAGTAAGGGCATCATATTGGACTCTGTAAAGCATTAGTTCTCAGTTTTGCCTTTCATTTTTGCAACAAAGAGCATATATAAAAATCATTTTGTCCTTTAGTATTGCATCTGCTTATAGCAGTTTAAGCCATTATTTTTCTTCCAAGGTTTTGAAAGTAGGCACTTAGCTCATATTTCTTAATGATGTGCTCTTCAAAATGTGGGTGACATCATTGAACACATGTAATTGTAATAATACATTTCCAAAACCTTGCTGTCTGAATCTCTTGCTTGGTGCTACTCAGGGGAGATCAAAATTCAGCTGATAACAACAGGTTATTCTCCTTCTACATTTTTTCATTCATTATCAATATAGCCATGGTTTTAACAGGAGTCAATGGCTTACCACACAGGATTGATCTGGAACCCTTTGATAGGTCAGTGGATGGATCAGGGACATCTATTCTTCAAATCTCATTAACAAAGAGTGTTTCTTACATTGGACTAGGCAAAGATGGAGGAGAAAGGCATCCTTGAGGGAATGTGTGAGGTGTGTATGTGTGTGTGTGTGAATGTATGTATGAATTAGCAAGACAATCATTTACACACACACAAACACACAAAAACTCAGTGTCTCCAATCAAATTTCATTTTATTCTCTACCTGAAGATAAACACTTAAAATCGGTTGTTTAATCTCATATTTTTATGCAGGTTAGTTTAGTCTTTTATCACTGGTATCTGAAAATGGTGGAGATTTTGATAAGCCATAAGGGGAAGAAGAAAGTAGTAATTTTAAAGTCCAGGCCAAGTCTGGCTGAGTACTTTGTGAAACTTGGGTATCAATAACTAAAGTACTTGGGGGGTGGAGAATGTGCTTCCATAATTATGGGAGGTTGTTTATATAGTGAAAGGAATCAGATTTGGTGTCCCACAGTCATGATTTTCAACTTTGTTCTGTGGTCTTTGGGAGCAATTTAACATTTCTGAATCTCAGATAGGATCCATAATTTGAGGATAATATCATATTAACTGTTTTGGATATGATTATATGAGACAGTTTATTTAAAAATCTGACACTGTACCTAGTATAGAGTAAGTCTTCAACAAATATGGGTTCCCATGTCTCTAACCCTAGATAATTTATTTTACAATCATCTATCAAGGTGCTAAAAAGTTACAGTATCTATATATGCAATTTCTAAAATTTGAATTTGGTTTTCAATATACTACCTAACTAAAAAGTCTTGAAACTTGAAATAAGTGGTTATTATTTATATTTCAGATTTCTTAAAAGCACATGTGAGATTTAAGAAATGCCCACGTAGAAAACAATAAACTATTAGTGGAAAAGGAAATTTACATAAATATCAGTCTTCTAATATTCTAGGGGTAATCACCATCATAGCTGAATCGGTAATGCATTTCTATATGAAGGATTTGCTGCTTTATTCTTACCTCTAGGAAAAATATTCTGTTATCTCCACCAGATGATTAAACTATAGGTTTTTATTTTTTTAATCTTAGATTTTTGAAGTTATAAAGTGTTTTACAGCCTTGAGATTACCACTTTTAAACTTAATAACTTTAAAACCTGAAACTATTATTGATCACACTAAATATTTTACTTTCTACTCTTGCATTGTTCTCTGCTAAATTAAAATCTTAATGGGGCATAATAAAATATTTCTTCCTCTTATTTCAAAGACCTGCTAAGATATCATGTCCTGTTGGTCAGTGTATTTAATGTTACTATGCATGATTTATTATACATGTTATATTTTCTCTTATGGCTTTTCTTTCCATTAAGTAATAATTTGATATTAAAAATTGTTATCAAAGTTTACATATAAATTGTGACACTAAGACTTTTTGAGAAATAGGGAAAATGAGTTTATTAACTTTTCAGTTAAAGTAAATCTTAATGAAAACTTTTGTGTTTCATGTTATTTTTATTCAAAAAATAAAAATGAATCATATTTTATAGGAAAATTGACTGTGTTCTCTATATAACTGGCCAGTAGAAACTAGACCTATTTGTTTTCATTTAAATGTCTTGCACTGATAATTACAAAATAACATAAATTCTTTGTGTTTTTTTGTTTGTTTGTTTGTTTTTGAGACGGAGTCTTGGAGTCTCGCTCTGTCGCCCAGGCTGGAGTGCAGTGGTGCGATCTCGGCTCACTGCAAGCTCCACCTACCGGGTTCACGCCGTTCTCCTGCCTCAGCCTCCCCAGTAGCTGGGACTACAGGCGCCCGCCACCACGCCCCGCTAATGTTTTGTATTTTTAGTAGAGACGGGGTTTCACTGTGTTAGCCAGGATGGTCTCAATCTCCTGACCTCGTGATCCACCCGCCTCAGCCTCCCAAAGTGCTGGGATTACAGGCGTGAGCCACCGCACCAGGCCAATTCTTTGTGGTTTTATTTAAAGTATACAGTATAAATTCCTGCACTATTAAGATTACCTGTGTTTTAAATGGGGATGTGGGCCAGGCGCGATGGCTCAAACCTATAATCCCAGAACTTTGGGAGGCCAAGGCGGGCGGATCACCTGAGGTTAGGAGTTTGACACCAGCCTGCCTAACATGGTGAAACCCTGTCTCTACTAAAGATACAAAAATTAGTCGGGCGTAGTGGCGAGCGCCAGTAATCCTAGTTACTCCGGAGGCTGAGGCAGGATAATCGCGAAGAGGTTGCAGTAAACGACAGTAAACCGAGATTGCGCCACTGCACTCCAGCCTGGGCAGCAGCGAGTGAGACTACGTCTACAAAAAAAAAAAAAAAAAAAAAAGATGTGTTCACAAATGCTAATTTTTAAGTAGAAAAAAAAAATTGCTGATTTTCCCCAAATAAAAACAACAATAAAAAGCAACTGGCTAAAATTACTTTTAAAAATGTGAAGGAATCACATTATACCTTTGCTTAAATGTTATTAGTTTATGTTTGTGGTGTTTTAGGAAGTCTAAGCTTCTTTAACAGAAAACAGTCTTTTACAAAAGTATCTAATCCTATTCTAGTGTTGGTTGCTAGGAGAACATTTGATGCAAATTAATCAGTAAACATCTAGCAGCCAGCTACCTGAGGAGAAGGGAAGTGGGAGAGACTTAGAAGCTGGCCAGCAGGGAAACTGCTGATGGGAAAATGACTGTCAAGGGTTTTTTATACATACCAGCGGCATCACACTGGGATTCAATTTTTTTTTTCTCTCTATCATTCCTGTAGGTAAGGAGGAGAAAAGAAAGAAGGAAAAATTGGAAAGATAAATGGGGTCTTTCCAGTGAAGGTGAGCTTGATTTTTGTCTGTTGAACTTTGGCAAGACAGCAAGGGTTGGATTAATTAATGATTAATAACAAGTAAAAATTAGTGAGATTGGAGCAGGGTACCTAATACTACCTAGATATTTGTATTTAAATTTTATTATGCATCATATATCCTATTTGAAAATAATGTTTTCATAATCAACCAAAACAACAAAACAGTTTAGGTGTGAGCAACAGTCTTCCTTGCCCTAAAATGTCATCTAGGAGTAGATTCTAAGATGTTGTAGGAAGACTTAAGGATACATTCCTGGCCATTTTAAAATTAAAATTATGCTTCAAATGTCAATAAAATGAGAATATAATTGCTTTTGTAAATTTTAGTGGAATTTTGGGGTACTCAAAAAAGGATTTAGGTCATTGGTCTCACATCTATGGAAGCAAAGTGTCAGTCCTGGTAGAGCCGGAGAACTTTGCAGAACAGGAAACAGTTACGTTGGTTTGCTGGACCTGGGGTCTTCCTTAATTCCTAATTTAAGTCCTCTCAAACAGTTTTTTTTTTTTTTTTAACTAGTGCGGAAAATTAAAAGGTGGAATTCAGTTTATAGAATATTACTTTGTAATGAATTTAGGAGGACACAAATACTTTATGTTTAGACATAAATACAGTTGTCTCTTCAGATCTGTGTGCAATGTGTCCATGGATTCAACCAACCCTGAATCAAAAATATTTGGGAAAAAAAAAGAATAACTGCATCTGTACTGAACATATACAGACTTTTTTCTTGTTATTATTCCTTAAACAATACAGCATTACTATTTACATAGCATTTATATTGCATTAGGTATCATAAGTAATCTAGAGATGATTCAAAGGAACAGAAAGATCTGCATAGGTTCCATGCAAATCTGATACCATTTTAGATAAAGGACTTGAGTATCCGAGGATTTTTGTATCCACAAGGGTTTCTGGAACCAATCTCCCACAAATACTGATAGATGACAATGTCTATGAAAATACATAAACACAGAAATATCCTACAAATTACAAGAGAAATAAAAGAATAAAAATGGTTTTTAATTGTACAAAAACCCATTTAAATGTTTTTTAAAAAGAGGACAAAATTTGGTGTGGTTAGGGAGTTTATTATTTTTGTGTTGAAAATAAATGTTTTTAACTTTCCTTTAATAAGGAAGTTAGGTTTATTTATATAGCTTATCTTTTAAGTGAGTTTACTTACACATATTTCAGTTACAAAATGTATTTCAATTTTAATTCAAAGTAAAAAGTAATGAGTTCTCTTAAGAATTCTGCCATATGTGATGTTTGATCTAAGTCCTAAGATATTGACTAAAGATTACTTATTTTCTTTATTTTTGTATAAAATGGTAATTTCTTCAATAAGTTTAATTTTATGCTGCATTTAAAAATTAACTGGCAATAACTTATGCAAAATATAGTCTCATTTCCTTTCAGTATTTTTTAAGTAAGGCTCAGGAGAAATAAATAAATCTACTAATATGTAGACCACAGAACTATATAACCAATATGGGTGCTAGGGGCTAAGAAGCTCAAAGTGAGATATTAGGCCCCTGACCTCAAGGAGATTACCATTTAGCTTTACAGTTAAAATTAAAACAAACACATGAAACAGTTAGTGAAAATGTTACCTTTTTGGTACAGAGCATGCTTTAGAGGAGTTTGGAAACAAGAGTGTTTGGAAGCTTCTATAGAAACCACTCTTTTGAGGGGAGGAACTGAATGGTTGCTGAAAAATGAGGAGACGTTGTAAACAGCTGTGTTGCCTTAAAGTTATAATATGTTTTATAATTCAGTATTAAGGAAGCAACTGATACCAACTAATTTGCCTTTGGATATTGCAAATGATATTCAGCTTATCCATTTCACCATGGTATGTTAACACAGAAAATATTCACACATAGATAGTTCTACATAAGAAAAATTAACTAGATAATGATTCTATATGGTTAATAATAATATAATTATTATATATTAAAATATATTAATTTTATATGTAGCAAGGTCTAGAGTTGTGAAAATGCTATCTGTAAAGACACAGTTTGTAATAAAAGATAATTTAATTAAGGGTTTTAAAATCACCCTCTATTAAGTTGCTGTTTACCTAAATTGATTATTTTCTTCAAAATAAACAATGCTATATTGTTTTCAGACAGCTGTATGAAAAGTTACAGAGAATGGAAAAAGCATAACATCTAAGCAAAAAATAAAACAGAAATATTGAACTAAATTATTCAATATCAATATATTAATTTCCTGAATATACAATGGATCTGCACATACAATACAAGTGGACTATTGCTTTTACCTCTTCTTTTTCTAAGGAAAATGTAGACCACTTTGGTGCACTAAATTGTCTTATATTTAATCATATGGCCCATATTGAGTAGTTATAATTTGGCTATAATAATAAATTATTATATAAAAATTGCCCATTTAAATGTTTATAATAACCATATAAAGCTCATCTTTACTTTAGTGCAGACTTCTCTCCCATATGCTGGTTTACCTCATAGGCATTGACAAATCTTTTTAAACCTGAACTCCCCTGTGAGAGCTTTTTAAACCTGAACACACTGTGAGACCACAGTGTGTCTCACAGTGGTCAGTAAGATCACATTTTATCCAGGTTTTCAAGACAGACTCTGGGGCATCAGGTTTAACTATCATCTCCAAGGCATTTGATATCCAACTTCTATTGCATATATTCTTTGTGCTCTTCCTATCAAGACTGTGATGGTTAATTTTATGTGTTAACTTGATTGAGCCATGAGGCAGACTGACATTTGGTCAAACATTATTCTGAGTGTGTCTGTGAGAGTGTTTCTGGATGAGATTAACATCTGAGTTGGTAGACTGAGTAAAAGAGATTGTCCTCCCTAATGTGGGCAGGTCGATTCAATCAGCAGGAAACCTGAACAGAACAAAATAGCTTGCCCACCCTCAAGTAACTTGGAATTCCTCCTGCCTTTCTTAGCTGTGACATTGTTCTTTTACCTGCATTTAGACTTGAATGGAAGCATCCACTCATCCTGTGTTTTTAGCCTCCAGGCCTCCAGACTGGAACTTATACCACTGATTCTTCTGAATCTTAGGCCTTTGGACTTGGACTGGAACTAAACCATCAGCTCTTCTTGTTCTACCACTTGCAGACTGTATGTCTTGGGACATGTCAGCCTCTGTAATCACGTGAGCCAATTCCTTTTAATAAATATCTTTATATATGCATCCTATTGGTTCTATTTCTCTGGATAAATCTAATACAAAATCTTTGGCAATTCTGGATTTTGTAATAATCTCTTAATTGCTCTCTAGTTTTATGCCCTTCCCATGCATCCTCTACACACCTGTAACAGTTATATCTCTTGAATGCAAAACTCTTTAGGTCTTTCCCTTGCTTAAAATTCCTCCTTGGCACCTCATCCATTTTAGGATAAAACACAACTGCTAACTTATCAAACAAAGTACCTTAATGATTTAGACCAAACTTGTTGGCCCTAGGTTTTTCCTTCCTTCTAGCAAAACTGAAAAAGTTCTAGTTTCCTGAACCAAGCTTCCTTGAGCCCCCGTATATTTGCACTACTCACTTTACCTATAAGGTTATTTCTCCTATTCTCCCATTGTCCACTTGTCTAACCCCTATTCTTCCTTAACACTTGGTTTGTGTTTTATTTTGACCTAGAAGCCACCGTTTAGTTTCTTCTTCTTCCTTCTTTTAAATTTCCTCTTACAGTATGGTTGTTAACAGTTGATTTTTCACATCTATATTTCAAACAAAATGATAAAATCCCTGAGGAGGGGAATCATATAAAGTAATTTTACTAAGTGCTTAGCAGAGGGCATATAGTAGGTATTCACTAAAGCTCTGCTGAATACGTGAATAAATGAACCTTATTAATATCAATTAAATTTACTTTAAAAAACATGGTTTCATATTTAAAACATTAAAAGTTTATTTCAGAAATTTATTTAATTATGAATTATTAACTTCTATTTTTAATATTCTTTATTTATCCTGCTAGATCAACCCTACTCTGAGCCTCCAGAGACTGACATTTTTTAATTTAATTAAGAGGACCTCTTGCCCTCTGGACTGAGATGGATTTCAACCAATAGGTATAGACAAAAGATTAGAAAGTAGAAGTTGAGGGAGGTTGGGGTTTTATTCCCATAGCACCTTCCCTGCCAAGCCATGGGCTGGCAGTAGACACAATCCTCTTTTAGGCTATCTGTTACTCCCTGGGTTCTAATACTTGCTTCCTCCCTTTGCCCATCAGTCCTGGTGTGGCAACAACTCCGCACTATTATCCTGGGAAGACTTTCTTTCTTTCTTTCTTTCTTTCTTTTTTGAGATGGAGTTTCGTTCTTGTGCCCAGGCCGGAGTGCAATGGCACAGTCTCAGCTCACTGCAACCTCCGCCTCCTGGGTTCCAGTGATTCTTCTGCCTCAGCCTCCCGAGTAGCTGGGATTACAGGCAGCCACCACCACGCCTGGCTAATTTTTTTTTTTTTTTTTGTATTTTAGTAAAGACAGGGTTTCACCATGTTGGCCAGGCTGGTCTTGAATTACTGACCTCAGGTGATCCACCCTCCTCAGCCTCCCAAAGTGCTGGGATGACAGGCGTCAACCACCGTGCCCAGCCGACTTTACTTTCTATTGCTAGTTTCATTTAAGTGGTCCACACTTTGGTAAAAATCACTTCTTAAGTTTTCT
This sequence comes from Homo sapiens, assembly GCF_000001405.40. Classification (NCBI taxonomy): domain Eukaryota; kingdom Metazoa; phylum Chordata; class Mammalia; order Primates; family Hominidae; genus Homo; species Homo sapiens. Next base: position 97,974,195 of record NC_000006.12, read on the forward strand.
CAAGTACCCTGTTGGACAATGACACCAGCCTCTTGCCAAGACTATGACTAATGCAATATAGAGTCTTCCCCCACAGTGTGACTTAATTTAATAATCCAACATGATACCCAGTAACTTTACCATTGAGGTCATATGTTGGGCTCATCAAACATATTAAATGTGTCAATAATTCTACAATAGGCCAAGCCATATAATCACAGGAAATCTAGTATCTTTTTAAGAGACTAAAAGCATCTTATAGCTTTAAAGTGCTTTTCATTTGAAAAGATGGTTTAAATTAATTATCTAATTTGATTATCTCACTTATAAATAGTTTACTGGACAAACAGTAGAAATGCTGAAAATATACAGTTTTAAAAAGCTCATTTCAATTTTGTTAAAAATTTTAAAAATAATTTAAATTAAAATGTGTTCTTACTACAAATAATCCAATGTTTTCATCAATGCTACTTAGGAATATAATATTACCCCAACTCAGTTGTCAGTAAAAATGACAATTACAGTGCTTGGTGCCTACATGATTCCCTGGTGGTACCTTAGGGAGCTGAGTGACTCAAGGCAGCCAGTGCATCTTGTAGCACCACTGGATGTGCTCCACTCACACTCTTTTGCCCAATGTAAAACTAAATGTAAAACAGAAAAATGACATTCCCTTTAGTGTTAGAAGCAGTATGTATAAGCCTATGTAGTGCAAAAAGTGTTTTCAGATGTGTTCTGTAGATACTGCATTTCAGTCTCTGCCACGTGGGAGTGCTTCTAGAGATTTTCATTGTCTTTTCCAGAAGGAAAGCACTAAATGCCACCTTTTTTTCTGCACAGTTGTTATGCTTCTCAGTGTCTAATTCCCAGGAAACTGCAGAAACACCAACAGTATCTGTCCCATGATATAGTTTGGTGGGACAGAATTTATTCTGCCCTTTTGCCATTTTGATAACGGATATAAATATAATATATACGCAGGATTTTAAAATGGTGTAGGAGATGGATACATTTTTATGATTTGACACTATTGACAATGAAGAAATTTTGTTTCTCGGAAATTCATGCAAACTACTGCAGTCTTGAAAGTTCTCAGATTCTAGAGGTCAAATTATCTTATACATTTTAGGTAAAAGGGCTGATTAGGTTGCCCCTGAGGGCTAGTATTCCTGAAAGCAACATTTAGAAGGTTTAAAATTCAAGATGCTTCTTGCAGAAACAACTGAGTTTTCTGAGAGCTTCTTCAGCCTCATGTTATGCAGGTAGAGTGCACTTGAAGAATACCCCTGAACAGATTCTTTCATGGTGGTTTTTTTTTTTTTTTTTTTTTTTTTTTAATACAGTGCCTGTATATATCTGGTAGGATACTCAAAAGACACTCCTTTTAAGTATGTCATTTAAATTTGATAAAACTACACAAAGAGATTGGTCTCAGGACTGTATTGATGTACATAGTATTTTTGTTATATAACTAGTACTATGTCCATATTAAAGTAATAGAACAGAGATGGCAGAAACAGAAAGGGAATTTAATGCATAAGCTCTGTACCTTGTTAACTTCACGTATAAATTGAAACTCTGTAGTGTCCTGAAAAGTCTCAGATGCAAATTCAAATTTAATAACTGAATTTTCCCCCAGGCCCTGTTAATTTCACAAGGAAAAATTGCAGCATACATTAGACAACTGTATACACACAGTGACAATTTTTACAAGTCTATGAGCAATTCCGTTCTTATTGTAATTTAAACAACCTATTAATTAGCTAATGAAAGTATATTATTGACAATGGATTCTATCTCCTGTAATCAGACTCAAACTGGAAGTGTCTCAAGGGAGAGTGAGGCATGGAGGAAGAATTCAAAGAGTGTTTCAGGTTAGTAACAGTCAGAGGTGATTTTTAAGTGTTTACTGCACCTCCTTCTAACACATACACACAAAGTACTTATCAGAATGGTTACCCATCTAGTCAGACTGGCTGCCAACAAGTCTCAGTACATTTGGCTCATTATTGGTTCTGCTATCAATGGGTATCTCTTCCTCAAAAGAAAAACTTAAGTAAATAGCATTTAAATATTATCAGAAGATAGGAAGGGAAAAGTTTATTTTCACATCAAATCATGCACAGTTTCTGGATGCTGACATCTACTCTTTATTACATCAGACATCCAGTGGTAAAGGTTTCATCCAATGGGTCTATTCATCATCGTCCTTTGGTGAAAGTGTTTCTGTAATCCTCATTGTAGGCTGCTCTTAACAGACCTTTCATCGCCCTCTATGTTTGGCCCATCGATTGCCTAGTCTAGTACCATGCCATAGTCTATAAAACTCTTTAGAAATGATTTTTTTGACAAAGAGAAGTATGGGAATTTCACTCCAAATGTGGTTGGGTAATACAGTGCAAGGTCCTATAGCAATAAAAAGTCAGTTGGTTTCAGATTGTCTTACAGAATCTAACCCAGAGTAAGTGATTAGTTTGTTGAATGGAGGCATCATCTGTGGAAAACCAGAGTGTGCTAGACAGCCTTTGATTCTTTTCTAAGAGAAACTCACTATTTAAGATGTTTTCTTTAAGACTTCGTTGACTAGACTAGAAACACGTATGCCTCACTACTCAGGGCAAATTCTTTCTAGCCTAAGTGTCTTGCCACCTCTCCTTAGAAGTGGGTGGATTGCTCTTTCCAAATCTTTGCTTTTGATATAAGAAGCAATGGAGATAAGAAATCAAAAATAAACATTAGAAATATACCTAAATGTAAAACAAAAACTAAATACCCAAATAAGAGACAAAAGCTCCCTCAGCTATGAGATATGACTCTATTTTCTGGAGCTTACAAGAGAACTAGTTTCATTTAGCATTTCAGTATGTTTATTCACTTTTAAAAATTATGTCATCTTGCAGAGAATTTGTGTGATAATGTCTGTTTTAACATCATGCAACCGTTAGTTCACAGTTCACAAAATTTCTAGAATAGAGATCAGTAATTTTTGTCTGTAAAGAGCCAGGTAGAATATCTTTTGAGCATTGTGGGACAGAGAGTATTTGTGGCAACTACTGAGTATTGCCTTTGTAGTCTAAGAGTAGCCAATATGAAAAAGAATGACAATATGCAAAAGAATGGGTGTAGCTGTGTTCCAATAAACTATACTTTATAAACACAGACTGTAGGCCAGATTTATTTTGGACGTCATTGTTTGCAGACCCAGAATCTAGAATGTGACATGAAGTCTGGCCTTAGAGACAGAATTCACTATCCTTTGCCTGCTAAATTTCAGCCAGAAATAATGCTCCCTTTCTGGAATTCACTTCTGAAATGAATATATAAACAAAATTCAGTGACACAAAGTGATGTTGTTTTCTTACATTCCAACCTGACAGCTCCCATGGGTGGAAGGGGGAAAGGGAAATTTATTATTGTTTTAATATTTAGCTTCTTCATAATATTATATAAGAAACACATTTATGGTATAAAGTGGTGTGGTTAACTAGGAAGACAAGCATGTAATTGTCATACTGAAATGCGCAGAAGTAGCTAGATATTTTTTATTTAGTAGTTACACCCATTAAGTAAATCAGTGGTGTAGGACAGATGCAGCATTGGATCGATCCCACTCCAGTAGAATAAAAGGGATTTTTTAACCTGTACATTACACAGTGTCACATTAAATGAAGTTATTGCTACATCAGGTGACACAGAAGAAACTGATATTACATGACCTGATGCAAATTCAAATGGAAAATTTGGAGCATACAAATGGATTAAACACCCTTGAAAATCAGGTAGAGTACAATTCCAGAGGATTTCAGGTCATTCAGAAATGCTATTACCTCCCAGCTAAGAAATGTCGACTGTTTTGTTAGTGATCACACTGAAGCATGAAATTGGGGAGGAAGACTGTTAATGGGTCAGTTAAGGTAAGAATTCCGAAATATTATTTTAAGGTGGAATGTTGTGACAAATATGTGGCAAAATGTAAAATTACCTCTCAGAAAAATCTGTGTTTATTTTCAGTCACTGTTTATAGTATGGAAAATGTATTTTGACTGGAAAATCCCACTTGAAAAGTTCTTACCCTAAAAAACTCACAGACCTTATCAGAGTAAGTCTATCACTGTCCTTACACACTACCACTTTCTTCTTGGAAAACAACTTATATACCATATAAAATGTATACTTTTTTTTCTAAAAATAGCATTTTATAGTGCTTTAGAAAGAGGTTTTCTTTTTCCTTTATATTATAAAACTACTTATGAACATATAATAGAGGGATGAGTTAACAAATGTGTTAAAGCTGGAGTTTGCAAACACAAGTTAGCCAATAAAGGTTTCCTATCTGGTAAACTCTACTGATGAAAAAGTCTTAACTGTAATAGATAGTTGCCAATCAGATGAATTAAACTTTAAAAAAATATAGGTTTTAAATACATAATGTCAGATTACTTAACTGAAACTACTTTCTTTAATTTCCTTTAAGAAAAGAATTGCTTGATTTTTCTCCTCTCTTCAGTTTTGTGTGTGTGTGCGTGTGTGTGTGTAAATCAAGGAATTATTCGATTTTTAAAATGAAGCCAATAATAATTGAAGATTTATTAGTTGGTGCATGTTATATTGATACGGGAATGCTGGCAAGGGAAGAGCATGGTTCCTTTAAATGATACGGAATCGGGGAAGGGAAGTTCTGGAGAGAAAGGTGGGTCCCTGGCTAGGGCTCCACCCCCAGGGACCTAGGTGAGCACAGGCATTTCCTGCCCAAATGTATTTCCCAAGACCACCCGGACCTGCCACGCCCTCATCAGGGGCCTATAAAAACGCGAGACGCTGGTGTGCAGACACACAGGTGGCCATACCTCCAGAGAAGTACTTCAGCGGTAGAAGACTCAAGCGGCTGGTCCTCCAGAGGACCTCGAGAGGAGCATGTTGGCAGAAAAACACACCGACAGACATCTGCACGCCTGCAGGCCATTGATTGAGGGGACTAGGCGGAGTTTGGCCGGGGCTGTTGGAGGAGAGCCGGGGCCACCTAGCGGCCCAATTCCAGGGGAAAATCGTCTGCCTCTGGCTCCTCCATCAGCTGAGAGCTACTTCCACTCAATAAAACTTTGTACTCTTTCTCCAGTCCCGCATGTGATCCGATTCTTCCGGTACACCAAGGCAAGAACCCGGGATACAGAAAGCCCTCTGTCCTTGCGACAAGGTAGAGGTTCTAATTGAGCGGACTTACACAAGACACCTATAGACGGCAAATTAAAAGAGCACCCTGTAACACACGCCCACTGGGGCTTCAGGAGCTGTAAACGTTCACCCCTAGACACTGCCGTGGAGTCAAGAGCCCCACAGCCTGCCCATCTGTATGCTCCCCTAGAAGTTTGAGCAGCGGGGCACTGAAGAAGCAAGCCACACCCACATCGCACGCCCTGCGAGGGGGATGACGGAACCTTTCCCGTTTCAATATGACCATAGGTATTTAAATGGTTTTTAATAAAAGATATTTACTGTGGGAAATTAGAACCATCCAGATCTTTAAACGTAATGCATAGGAAATAGATGGTGAAAATATTGGTAGAAAGTTATAAAATCTTTACTACTAAAATTTAAATGATTTATTTTAAGAAATGCATTTAACAACAGATTATATGGCTGCTTTCTTCATTTACTACATTTGTAGCACTTATTACCTGTGCTTTGTGTTATCAGTAGTAAGTGGCCATACTTTTCACTTTGAGGGCACAGAGTGTTTTTTCACCTTTTTAATCCTAACTACTGCCCATTCATCTAAACACCAAAGTCTCTTGGCCAGTGTCCTTTCAGACGTCATAGATGCAAAATAAATGTATTTTTGAATGAGTGAATGTAGTAAAGGAGGCATACCTGTGTATAATGCTCTCTCCAGAGATGATACCATGAAATTACTTTCTAAGGGGTACTTTTAGGTCTTTAATAATCAAATTCATTAACCTGCTAAGTAACACTACTCTAAAATAATGTAATCAGTGAGCCAGTTTAGCATACTTTAAATTTGTGCATAAAAACAATTATGGAATATCCCCATTTTTAATTCTTAATATACTTAAATAATTGGTTCTTTAGTTTTCACATTTATGTATTTCTTAGCTTGTTTAATACCGTATTTTTAAAATTTTTCTGTGCTATAATTCTTACATAAATTTCTTTTAAAAGCACATTATTAACAATTGCTACGACTTTGAAATGCATTTTTTTTGAAATGGGTATCTGTTATTCAAAATAATAGTTGAAATATAGAGAGCCTTTATATTTCAAAATATTAACCTTTCACTGAATTGATTAAAAGCATATAATATGACTTTGAAGTATTTTGAAAACCTTGCTGCAGAAAATCAATTGAATTATTTTTTTGTTTGGTAATGTAAAACAGTTGCTTCAGTTTTCAAATACCAAGATTATCCTGTGCACTCTGCCAATGAATAGATTGAGTAGAAAACATAGGCTGTAGAGAGGAATCATTAATAAGAAAGAATCAAAAACAAAGGAAAGTAAGTGGGTTAATTACGGTAAATATGATTTAAGCATCTGTTTAGGCTATCAGGGAATACAAAAGGGAATTTGAGAGATATTAAAATTTAAACCCAAACTAACAAAATGCAAATAAGGACAGAATTTTTTTCACAGCATAATGAGCATTTATTAAATATTATTTTTATTTAAATGCAGAGAGATGGGCAGTAAGTAGCATTTACGTTTTTTTCTTTTTCTTTTTTTAAGATAAAATGAATTATCTTACCTAAACCCCTTATCGTGTCAGCTGCCACAATATCAAGCCACAAAAATGTGATCATAAAACCAAGGCACACAAGTTTAAAAACACAAGGTTGGAAAAAGTATTCAGGGCACAACATGAAGCATTTTCAGTATGTCTGTTCTACATTTTTAAGTATCATATTGCAGGAAATTTTTTTACGTTTTGCTCAATGTTATAAAATTATTTATAGTCATAGTATTTATGATGAGAGATTTTAACCTTTGAAATTTCTACTCTTTAATTGGATTTAACATTTTCTTTGTGGTCAATTATCTGATTGATTTTCTTTTGTGTTCCATGGATGTATTAATATTTCATGGGCATTCTTTTAATCTATTTAAATCATTTTATTTATTATATAATAAATTTATTCTGGGTACTTAAAATTTTTAAATTGATCTGCTTGATTCTCAAACATAGTCTTCCTAAGGAGCATATCTGATACTTCCTGCTCCCTGTAGAATTCTTGGGTGGCTTCAAACTACCAACAGAATAAAATCTAAATTTTCTTTCATGACAGAAAAAGGCCCCTTATCTCCCTCATTTCTTTCAGCTTTCCATTGTGCACCCATATCTAACATATTATCAGCTGATCCATAGTGAAAAATCCTATGTTTCCCAAATTTGGTCTGCTCCATCACACTGCTGGTGTTCCTTCACACCACTGTATCTTTGTACATTTTCCCTTTACCTGTAAGTATTTTCCCTAAGTACATCTGGCTAAATTAGAGTCATAATTCAAAATTCATTTTATTAATAATCTCTGGTACTTCTCCAATGTTTTTACTTTATTTCAATTGACAAACATTGTATATATTTATTATGTACAAAATATTTTGAAATATATATATTTGTGGAATGGCTAAATTGAGCTAATTAACATATACATTACCTCACAGGTTTATCATTTTTTGGTAATAAGAACATTTAAAATTGACTCTGTTAGCAATTTGTAAGAATGCAATACATTGTTATTAACCATGTTGCACAATAGATTTCTTGAACTTACTCCTCCGATCTACTTGAAATTTGGATGGATGGTATCCTTTTACCATCATCTCCCTAGCCCACCCTTCTTCTCTCCTCCTGGCCCCATGTAACCACCATTCTGCTCTCTGCTTCTATGTGTTTGACTGTTTTAGATTCAACATATCAGTGAAATCATACAGTATTTGTCCTTCTATGCCTGGCTTATTTCACTTAATATAATGTCCTCCAGGCTCACCCATGTTGTTTCAAATGACAGGATTTTCTTTTTTTATAAGGTTGAATAGTATTCCATTGTGTGTGTGTGTGTGTGTATAATACAATGTGATATATATATATATATATATATAAAATACAATGTGATTATATATCACATCTTCTTTATCTGTTTGATAGATGTGAAAAGATATATCACATCTTTATCTATCTATCTGTGTATAAATATCACATTATCTGTTCATCCATTGCTGGACACTTAGGTTGATTTCATATCTTGGCTATTGTGAATAATGCTGCAATAAACAAAGGAGTGCAGATACCTCTTCAACATGCTGAGCTCATTTCCTTTGGATATATACCAATCACTGGGGTTGCTGGATTGTATGTCAGTTCTACTTTTCATTTGCTGAGGAACCTCCACACAGTTTTCCATAATGACTATACTAATTTAAATTTCCACCAATACTGTGTAAGAGTTCCCTTTTCTCCATATCCTCACCAACACTTATCTTTTGTCTTTCTGACAACAGCCATTCTAACTTGCATCTATTGGATGACTATTGATATTGAGCATTTTTTCCCATATACTTGTTGTCCATTTGTATGTCTTCTTTTGAGAAATGTATATTCAGATCCTTTGCCATTTTTAAAATTGTGTTATTTGTTTTCTTGCTAGTGAGTTAAATTTTTTTATATATTTTGGATAGCAACAACTTATCAAATGTATAGTTTGCAAATATTTTACCCCATTCCGTAAGTTGTCTCTTCACTCCTGTTTCCTTGGCTGAACAGGGACTTTTTAGTTTGATGCAATCCCATTTATCAATTTTTACTATTGTTGCTGTGCTTTCAGGTTCACATATCCAAAAAAATCGTTACCTAGAACAATGCCATTGAGATTTCTTTCTCTTAGTTTTTCAGCTTCAGGTCTTATGTTTAAGTCTTTAATTCATTCTGAGTTGGTTTTCTATAAAGAGTCTAATTTCATTATTCTGATTGTGGATATTCATTAGTTTCAACACCATTTATTGAAGACATTGCCCTTACTCCCATTATGTGTTTTTGGCACTTGTATCAAAAATCAACTGACCATAAATGCAGGAATTTATTTTTGGGTTTTCAATGGCATAGGCATGCAGAAAATGAGCCAGGGCGGGAAACTAAAGAAAATGAAAGTACAGCATATGAAAAATGGTAGAACACAGCTAAAACAGTGTGGAGAGGGAAATTTATGGCACTAAACACATACATTCAAAAAGAGGAAAGGCCTCAAAGCAATAATTGGAGTTCCTATCTCAAGAACCTAAAAATAAAAACAAAATAAGCCCAAAGCAAGCAAAGGAAGGAAATCATATGTATAAGGCAGAAATCAATGAATTTGAAAACAGAAAAACAGTGACACAAAATGTTTTTTCTTTGATAGGATCAATAAAATTAACATAGCAAGACTGATATATAATGATAAAAAAGGAGGACATAGATTATTACTGTCAGAAATGAAACATGAGATATAACTACAGACCTTCACACATCATAAGGCTAATAAGGGAATAATAAAAATAACTTCACACAAATAAATTTGGCAACTTGGAATGGACCAATTTTTTTAAAAAAACAAAATCTACCATAACTTACTCAATATGAAATACAAAATTTGAATAGTTTTATAACTAATAATAATATTAAATTTTCAATTAAATACTTCCCTCAGTATAAATCTCCAGATGGTTTCATTGTAAAATTCTACCAAATTCCTTAAAGAAGAATTAACACTCATTTTACACTATCTCTTACAGAATATAGAAGAAAAAGGAAAACATTATGACTCCTTCCAAAAAGTGATTACTATCTGACTAGTATAAGAAGATAAAGGCAATACCAAAAAAAAAAAAAAAAAAAAAGCTACGGGCCAACATCCCTCATGAAATACAGATGAAAACATGTTTAACAAAGGATTATCAAATAGAAATCAGGAATACATAAAACAATTTATATATCATGACCCAGAGATTTTATTCTAGTAGATTTATTTATTTTAGGAATTTATTCTAGTGATGGAAGACGGGTTTAAAATTTGATAATTACTTGCAAGCTAACACATTAACAGGCTCAGGAAAAAAAAAACATTATCCTCTCAATTTATGCAAAAAATATTTAACAAAATTTTTACCGTTTTATGATTAAAAAAAAAACACTACGTAAACTAGGAATAGAGGAGAACACCCTAAACCTAATTATTAAGACCATCTACAAAAACCCCGTAACTACCAAAAAAAAAAAAAACCCAAAAAAACTAATTAAGAGAATCTACAAAACCATTTTACTGAATGGTGAAAGACTACTTTCTTCCTATGATTGGGATCAAGGCAAAGATAATCACTCTTTCCACTCTTACCACAGTACTTAACTTTTAGCTAGTGCTGTAAGGCAAGAAAAATAAATTGTCATATGTACAGAAACAAAGAAATAAAACTGTCCCTATTTTGCTGATGACCTGATGTTCTACATTAAAAAAATCCCAAAGAATCTACCAAAAAAAAAAAAAAAAAACAAAACAAAACATGTAACTCGTAGAACTAATAAGTAAGTTTAACAAAATGGCAGGATACAAAATAAATATACAAAATAAATTGTACGTGCTAGCAATGAACACATGAACACTGAAGTTAAAATACAGTACCATTTGCAAGCAGTCAAAAACAAACCCTGAAAATTTGAGTTGTAAATCTAATAAATACAGATCTTGCAAAACACTGATAAGGAATTAAAGATCAAAATTAATAGAAGGACTTACTTTGTATGTGGATTGAAAGATTCTACATTTCCCATTAAAATGCAAACATGATTTTTGTAAATACAGACAAGAGTATTCCAAACTTCACATGGAAAAGCTTAGAAATTAGAATATCTAAATTATGAAAAAGTAAAATAGTGTGGGAAAAATCATTCTACCTGATTTAAAACTTATTATATAGCTACAGTAATAAAGACCAAGTAGAGGACCCCACAATAATTCTCTACAAGCATTGCCAACTTATTTTTGACAAAGTTATAAAATCAATTCAACTGAAGAAGGATAGTTTTCTTTTCTTTTTTAGAAATGGGGCTGGAGCAATTGGCTATCCATAGGCAAAAATGAACTCCTACATAAGTCTCAGACCTTATACAAAAGTAACCTAAAATAGACCTTAGATTTAATGTCAATTGTAAAACTATAAAACCTTTAGAGAAAACATAGGGAAAAGTCTTGGATTTAGGGCTTAATGAGGAGTTGTTAGACGTGACACCAAAAGCATGATCTATAAAACAAAAAATAGATGAATTATACTTCATCAAAATTAAAAACTATTGCTCTGCAAAAGATGAAAAGACAATCACTATCCTTGAGGGAAATGCAAATTAAGACCTCAAAATGACAATATCAAAATCTGGTTAGGATGTGGAGAAATGGTCTCATACATTTCTGTGGGAATGTGAAATGGTACAGTCACTCTATAAGATTATTTGGCAGTTTCTTTTAAAAACTAAACATATCATTACCATAAAATTCAAACATTGTACTTCTGAGCATTTATTGTAGAGAAATTAAAATTTATGTCCATATAAAATCTAGACATGATTGTTCCTAGCAATTTACTTGTAATATCGAAACTGTAAATAACCAGAATGTCCCTAAGTAAGTGAATGTTTAGATAGTGGTTTATCTTTTCCTGAAATACCACTTAGCAATAAATACATACATCTTGGGTGAATCACAATATTGTTATGTTCAGTGAAAAAAGTTAATCTCAAGTGGTCATTTACTATATCATTTTATTCGTATAACTCTAAATGACAACACTACTATAGAGATGAAAAACAAAATAGTGGTCGCCAGGGATTACGAGTGATTAGATGGAGATGTTAGATGCAAGTATAAAGAGGTAGCACAAAGGAGACTTTTGTGTGAATGGAATAGTTCTTCAATGTGGTGGCATTACACAAATATATACATGTGATAAAATGAGATGGAAGTATGGATGTACATTGTACCAAGTCAGTTTTTCCTGGCTTTGATACTGTGCTGTGATTATGTAAATGGTAACCATTGGGAGAAACTGGATGAAAGACACATGAGACCTCTCTGAACTATCCTGGCAAATTCCTGTGAATCTATACTTATCTAAAAATAATTTTAAAGAGAATCATGTCCCACATAATATTCTGTAATACATATATAGCTGTCTAATGAGCATCTGTATACTTTCTGAAGGAGAGGAAGAGAACACCAAATTTTTTTTGATGTGATAATGGTAACAAAATTTCCAAATTTGATAAAAATTCACAAATCCAATAAACTCAATGAAACCCAGGCTTAACCAATATGAAGAAAATTATACTAAGGCACAGCACCATTAAATTGCTCAAAACTTGTGATAAAGATAAAACCTTTAAAGCAACATAGGAAGAACAAAAATGAGGGTGGTGGCAAATATTTTGCTGGAAACAAGGCAAGTGAGAAGACAATCGAGCAATCTCTAAAATACTTGGGAGAAAAAATTGTCAATCTAGAATTGTATACTACTGAAACTACTTCAGAATGAAGGCAGAATACTTTTACAAAAATATAAAAGCTGAAAGAATGTATCCTCAGCAGATTCTCATTATAAGAAATGTAAAGCAAGTCCTGGCAGAAGGAAAATGGCACTAGATGGAAGTGTGGATTTATACTATGGAATGTAGAACATCAAAATGGAAATTATATTAGTAAATATTTTAAATTTATTTTATATTATATAAAATTTTTAAAATAAAAGCAATAACAATATAAAAATGTTCTTCACACAGCTCATAATGTGGTATACATAGTAGTCTTTCAAAGCAATTTAGCCAAATGAAAGTGAATGAAAATAAAATAAGAAAAATACCTTAAAAACAAATAGTATTCATATCCATTACAGTTTACGAAAAAATATCATTTTTACTGACTTACCATCTTTAACTGCAAATAAAAATTTATTTTCTGTAATTTTCATTTTTTGATAATTATTGATGACTATTTCTTTTCTCTCCAACCCAAGTCATTATGAAAAGTCATAGTAGAGCTTTTCCGTGCTCAGATTATCTAAAATTTCAACCCTCACAATGCATATCTCTTTCTCTGCCCATTTGCTCCTTATTATTTATCACTGTTTAACATATTAAAATTTTACATATTTACCTTATTTGTATTTCCCAATAAATTTAAGCTCTATGAGTGCAGGTATATTTGTCTATTTTGTTCACCGTGGTATCAGTAGCTCTTAACTGTGCCTGGGACACAGTAGACATTCCATCAAATATTTGTTAATTGTTGACTATCCAAAACAAACTCATGATTTTCTTCCCCTAAGTATGCTATCTCTAGTTGTGTTACTATATATTTTCTACAAGGTCACTTATCTTAGAAACATTTTTTCTTGGACTTTCTACTTTCAATTAAATCACAAAGTTTGGTCCATTTTTTCTTCCAATTATTTCTCAGTTCTTTGCCTTTTTCTACACCTACTTCCATTCTATTATAGAGAGAGTGTGCTATCTCATCTCTGTCCCAGAATGTCCTCCCTTCAAATAGCCCCATCCATAGTGCTGTAATCACGAGATTTCTAACGTGCAATACTACTCCTGTCATTCCTTTTCTCAAAACCCTTCAAGAGCATCTCAAAGACTGTGGAATAAAGTATGGACTTCCCATCATCATTCATAAGGCCTTGCCTCCGTCTCTATCCTTATCTCCTTCTACTCTCTGCAAGTCCCTGCATAGAACATCTTGCTTTTTTACCTCTGGTCTTTCTAATGCAATAACCTTGCCTCAAATGGCCTCTCACTCTTCAGACTAAGCACAGAACTAACTTTGTGGGTTGGTCAAACCGTCTCCAGGGACTTTTTTTTGTAATGCAACTATTGGTAAATGGGTAAATGTGCCGATCTTTTCTAACAGACCGCACATTTCTGGAGAGCAGAAAGTACATTTTGCCTTTTTATCTTACACTTAACACAAAGTTGGCATAGGCAGGGGCACAGAACTGTTGAAAAAATATTCAATAACTGAATATTACCCTAAGTGACTTAGAATGTATGTTCACAGAGCACAGATGCTATTTACATTACAAACTTCAGGAAAATGACTAATCAGAGTTTTAAAAAAATTAAATATTGTAAGCTGGGTGCTGTGGCTCACACCTGTAGCCCCAGCACTTTGGGAGGCTGAGATGGGTGGATCACTTGAGGCCAGGAGTTCAAGACCAGCCTGACCAATATGATGAAACCCCGTCTCTACTAAAAATACAAAAATTAGCCAGGTGTGGTGGCACATGCCTGTAGTCCCAGCTACTTGGGAGGTTGAGGCATGAGAATCGCTTGAACCCAGGAGCCAGCCAGAGGTTGCAGTAAGCAGAGATTGTGCCACTGCACTCCAACCTGGGTGACAGAGTGAGACTCTGTCTTGAAAAAAATTAAAACAAAATAAAATAAAAATACTGTTATGTTCAAATGACAGTTAAGTAAATCTCAGCATGAATGTTAAAATAGCTTTTTGAATAGTTTTTAGTGAGTTTTACATCTAGCAATTTCAACTTAATAACATTTACTTTTATGGTCTTCCTAAGTAACGCTATCAATTTCCAACTTTTGACCTTTAGTTTAAAGGAATAGAAGGATGTGCCTTTGGTAAATATTTTCAAAATTGTCTAAACACTGCATACCTTAACTGAGCATAGGGAGGCTGAGCAGAGTCCATCCTCTTTCTATCTTAAGTAATTTTCAGCCACAGATACATGCGCAGGGGTTTATATTCCTAACTGGGTAAATGACTTTCACATTTATTAAATGATCTGAGTGCTGAAATAGTGATTATTTGTTCAAGCTCAGGAGAATTTTGTTTTGAGCATTTTTAAGTTCTCATGGTCCTCAGCTCCGTCTCTTCTTTGAATTCTGTCAAGCATTACTTACATTTTATTTAAAATAAATTATGTTTTCATAAACAGGTAGTTTTGCCTTCTTATTTCTCATTTAATCTTCCACAAACTAACTTTGAAAACAGAATAAGTTATAGTACTGCCATCGTCATTTGGGGAAAATACTTGAATACTGAAGTTTCCCAAATTAGGGTATCAAATAACTTCCATAATGTTAGTTTTAACTTAAAAAAAAATCAAATCAAAGCAAAACAAAACAAAACTCAAAACCTTTAACAGCTAGCCAGAATGTATAGGTCTATAACAACTATGAATAAACTGCTAGAGGCAAATTTTTATTCAGCAGAAATTCTGCTCTGCTGTATTTTTTCCTTTAAAAAATCTTTTTGAAACAAGTGTCACAATTGTAATCTTTTAATTAATTTGGTACTTCATACAGAGGAGTCCTGAGTGAAAGCTAGTAGCTGTTTTTGCCATGGTGCCCAGAAGGATGCCTCTGTTTTGCCAAAAAATGTTCTGTCACTAATGTGAAGCCTGTTGACAAACTGTTGTTTATATGTTGTCAATGTGATGCCAAGTCAATTGTTTCACTACGGGAATCCTGGCTTGGCCCCAGTGGCTGTCTTAGTCTTTGTAGACACACAGATAATTTTAGGAAAGGGAATTAAAGGTAAAAACCTTATTTCACTTTTACTTGGCTCTTTATTTAACTGAAATTTTATGAAGATATGAAAATAAGTGGTGATCAAACAACTTTGCAAGAACTGTAATTCTAAAGACTTAGACATATGGTTGGTTTTTAATTCTTCTAGCTGTTAATTAAGAGGCTAATTATACAAGATGGTTAGGTATATATTAGCTTGCAAATTCTATCTTTTTTTCTTGTCATTTAAAATTAGCAAAGTAAGAGCTATGTAAGTCTTCTTTATCCTCTAAATCAGTGATAGTCAATGGGGGATAATTTTGCCCTCCAGGGGAGATTTGACAATATCTGCAGACACTTTTGTCACACTCAAACAGGAGCTGTGGCACGTAGTAGACATAGGTTGGGTATGCGGCTAACCATCTATGGTGCACAAAACAGCCCCCTACAACAAAGAATTATCTGGTCTGAAATGTCAATAGTATGGAAGTTGAGAAACTGTTATTTACATAAATGGTTGATGTGTATAGAGAATAGCATTAAAATGTTATACAAAATAATGGTTAGAGAAAATATACAATGAATATGGTTAGAAATTTAAGGAGACACTAAAAGAATGGGAATACAGTCTACAGCTTTCATATTAGCAGAAGAAAAAAAAAGGAAGAATGAGAAAAGTATTATCGGTCACAAAATGAAATAAAGGGGAAGAGGTAGAAGAGAAGAAGCATAGAAAAAGCAAAATAAACGAAAACCAACCAAAGTGGGAATAATCCTTTATACATCACTAATCAAAATACATGAAAGACTAAAATGACTGAGAAAAAGATTGAATATGTACTTCTTTCATATACAAGAAACCCACTTAAAGAAAATGGCAAGGAAAGATTAAAAATATAAAGATAGCAACACTGGCCTAAACAATGCTGTTGTAGCAAAATTAATATTGGATAAAACAAGTTTTAAAGGCAGAACTATAATTATATTAAAAAATTCACAAATCAGTAAAAGTAAGAATTCACCAAGATAATACAAAAAGGCATCTGTATACAGTAGCTATTAAAATAATTTTGAAATATATGAAACAAATACTAATAAAATCACAAGGGGAATTAGACAAATCCATAATTTAGTAAATTGAATATTCTGTCAAGAAAGGATAGATCAATTTTTTCAAACCCTTAGAATATACAACACCAAGAGTGAACTCTCATGTAAAATAGGGACAATGGGTGATTATGTTGTGCTGTAGGTTCATTGATTGTAACAAATGTCCGACTCTAGCAGAGATGTTGCTAATGGGGAGGCCATGTATGTATGGGAGGAGGGAGCATATAAGAAATCTCTGTACCTTCTGCTCAATGTTGCTGTGAACCTAAAACCTCTCTAAAAAATGAAGTCTATTTTTTTAAAAGGATGGACCAATAACATCCCAAGTAAGAAAGGATATAAGTGATTTGAACTATAAAAATGTTTTGATATTTATGATTTATCACAGTTGTTAAATTATTTCATCATGCACAATTCAATATAAATGGATTTGTTCATCATGATATATACCCCAGGGGCTCCAGTCAGTTGTTATATCAGAAATTCCCACCTAGTGGTGGTTATAGAACCTTTAATCTAAAGCCCACATTCCAGAAGTGGCTACTAAAGGTGCTTCAGCTATCTTTGACTTCTATCAATACAAGAGGCTGTATTAATTATCATAATGAATGTCGGAAATGAGTTTTCATTGGTGAAAGTGATGGCTTGCGAATTGGCATTATGGATGTCAGAAATGGCCTTTCATTGATGAAATTAGTGGCAGCTGACCTAGATGGACTGGCTAGAGTTTGCTATACACAGTGCACTCCTCATTCGTAAGCAGTATATGGAAGTCTAGCCCACCTCCCTTAGGGAAGTCACCTTAGGTTAGGTTACTCAACAGTATAGTTAGCTAAAATCTGCCATGGTATATTGACATATTTTCTTCAGGTGAAACTTTCATGTAAGGTATTTGGGGAACACCAAAAATAGGAGAACTGGGACATCAGGATACTTATAGAATAAATAGTATATAGACATGATTGATAATAATGATCTATATGAATGAAATAATTTAAAGGTACCAATATCTATGAAAATAAATATTGAAGTATAACAAAATTTCTAGAATTAATTCACAAAAATACTTAACAAGTTGGATTTATTCTGTACTCAACAAATAGTGAGTATACATTCTTTTGAACTCTATATAGAACATTTGTAAAAGGCAGTGATCACCTACTAGGTCAAAAAGTAATTCTCAGTAGATTTCAAGGAATTGATTACTTATAAGCCAAGTTTTTCTACTGAAATATAATTGCAAAATAAACCACCAACAACAGCAAAACAAAAGATCAAATAAAAACCCCTGTTTTTAAATTTTGTTAAAAATTGCTCATTGGTTAAGAAAATAACAATGGGAATGATATATTTAAATTGAATGATAAAATGTCTGTATATAAAAACTTACAATAAATGGTAAAGGGAAATTTATATATAATTTTGGTATATATAAAGCAAAATATTAAAATGTGGACTAGCTAGAGTTCAAGTTTTTAATAATGGTTCATTTTAGAAGGGAAGGAAGAAAAATAGAATTCGGGATAAGAATACTGGAGTCTTCAACATTATCTGAAAGATATTATTCCTTAAAAAATTAAATAGAGAGCCTATCTAATTTTTTACAGTTACCCTTTATTTATTTTGAGTGGGATATTCTTTACTTCTTTTGTATTCTTCATTTTAATCTGCCCAAATAGTAAAATGTATTGAAGTATTATTTCAAGGTATGTCAATTTTACTTGGACATTTTTCTTCAGCAGAAAACATCTAAATTATGCATTGAACTCTTCCAGAGAAGGTATTAGAAATGAAGGCGATATTGGGCTTTATGATACAATATGGTTCCTCCAAAATCCTTCTCTTTCCAAGTAAGGTTTACTTAGATTAGAAATTTGTAGCATTGTTTTCTGTTTGTTTGTTTGTTTTGTTATTTACTGAGGCTTCAGACGACTTAGTTGGACAGTATACTGGAAATGTATTATTATCAGATGTCAGTTTTTTGTAATTTTTCAATTAAAAATCCACTAAAAAGTAGACATTTTACTAAATTTCTCAAGTAGAATATCAATGATTCAGGTAGGAAATGAACACAACAGAAAAAAATAATGATACTTGGCTTACAGAAATGACTTAGGTTACGTTTTTTTTTTTTTACCATGAAATTTTTTTCACCATGAATAAATAGGTAAGATAAAATTAAATTTTTATGTTCTTAAAATGAAAGTTTCTCAAAAAAGTTCTTCATATGTTCAGATATTATCCATATGTTCAATATTCAGCATTTCCGTTCCAATGTTTGTAAAATGCTTTAAATAGTAATGAAAAATAATATTAGCTAATATTTTTTGATGTTTACTATATGCCAGGTGGTGTTCTATGTGCCAGATAGTATTCTAAATTCATTTAATTAAATAATTGATCCTTTGACTCATCATAAGAAGCCTAAGTGATTTGTGTGTGTGTGTGTGTGTGTGTGTGTGTGTGTGTGTGTGTAAGTGTATGCTCATGTTATATATACAACTTTAGCCAGGGTATCTAACTTTATTTCCATATACATTCTTGTACACTTTGTGTGTCTTGCCGCTCAGAGTTACAGGCCACTGGTTGAAGATCATTGATCTAAAAGTTAGAATTATCTTTAAAGTGAGGATGGAGTTAGTAAAAATCTCTGAGGGAGATAGAGCATCTTTTATTTATTTTCACATAAAGAAAGATAAATTGTTAAACAAGGTATATACTGTGCATCTTGTTCTTTAAAAATTAGGACTTGGGATAGGACATAAAAGTCACCAATATTTGTCAAAATAATGAATATTAAAGTAAATAAATTATCTGTAGTTGAAAAACTGGAATTTAGCATGAATAATAATCTTGAAAACATATGATGAATATAAAAAACTAAACCATATCTGTTTTGAAGTGAATTTTTCAGTATTTGATTTTTCATTCACTTACTTAGCAAAATTGTATTGAAAGCCTAGTTTGTATAAAATATCATGAGCTGTTGAATAGATCCACATATTTATAGATTCTGTTTGGACTTTCTTTACCATGTGATTCTGTAATTTAGTAAATTATATCTTCATATTTAAATATTTAAGTTACATATTAAGACTATTCTAAAGTAAAAGTCTGATGCATAGCAAGTAAAAGCATGTTTTTTTCTCTACCATAGTATAGATTTGATGAGAAATTAGGTCAACTAGTGAAGTGGTTAGCTCTTCTCTTGAAAAAAACCTGATTATGTTTGGTTATTTTTCCTTGAGAATATTTAATATGGAAGGAAATGGATAGATATAGAAGCCATTAGGTCTTCAAAAGAAGACACAGTATTTCATAATTTGTGATGTCAGAAATACAAGTTACAGAGTGAAAGTTTACTTTGGAGGTATTAATCCATTCATCTATCTATGATACTTTGGAGACTATTATAATGTTATAAGAACTTCCTAATGATGTCTTCTAAGTAAAATTAATTATTTGTAATTACTTTATAAATATTCATTTCCTCTATTTCAGGGCCATCAATTTTCACTATCAACTGTAATTTTAATCCACTCAATTTTTTCCTCAAAATATTCTCTAGAATATGATTTTAAAGTAGTTTCTACTGCTACTGCAATATTTTTTCTTCATGTACTTACTCATCCTTTATACATATTTATTATTTTAATTCACATGATTTTAATTACCATATGAATTTATATAACTGGCATGTAGATTTTTATATAAATTAAGACTATAGAAATTCAACATTATTTCTTATTTGAAAGGCAAAATTGAAGGAAGCAAATGTAGATTAAAAGATCGTATGATTTCAAGATTTTAGTGATAATATTTATTTATTATATGCTTTTAAAATAATGATGTGCCTGATTAGCTAAATCAGTAAAAATATAGCTAAGATAGGTAAAAAATCAAGAGTGAAATGATGTTATACCCTCTGTGTGCACCATACTACCCCTAACCACGTGTCTTTTAATTGCTGCCATATTCACAGGCTGGGAAGGAATGTGGGTGCATAAGAAAGGAAGCAAAGGAAAGTAAAATATGAAGGTTCCCCCATCTTTATCTAATCATCTACACCCTGAAGGAGAGTTTTTGTTAGCCAAGTTCCCAGATCTTGCATTATACAAAATTAGAAAAGTGTGTAGAGAGTCAGATAGGGAGAACTCTGAGGAAAAGGGTGATAAATTAGAGGGAGGGGCTAAATCAATCTATTTAATGGGGGCCCCAAAGGTGGTAGAAAATGCAGCATAGGTTATGGCTGGAGAAAGATCCTCTGAAGTATCTGCAAATGGCGAGAGTAAGCTTTTGGGTTTGTTTTAGATCTGTTGATGGATATGAATTGTGGCTTAGATCTCCTTCAAACTTATTTGAAAAAAATAATTAAAGTTTGAGCTTCCTTTCAATTCCTATTTGGGAGTTTTACTGTGGTCTGGTGAATATGACTGCATGAATTGACTGGGCCACATAGGCTCAAGATTTATTAGGGTTACAGGTGAAATCATATGTGAGTGACTAATGGAAGTTTTAATACTACTTGCAAAGTCACCATTGCAATTATATGTGTAATAGGTTATAAATAT
Organism: Homo sapiens; assembly: GCF_000001405.40. NCBI lineage: Eukaryota > Metazoa > Chordata > Mammalia > Primates > Hominidae > Homo > Homo sapiens. The sequence continues at coordinate 97,995,417 of NC_000006.12, forward strand.
GCACAAGTTATTAGATGAAAATAGAACTGCTATTTGAATATAACCTTTTATACTAATAGATGTGATTAAAAGGAATAGAAATTTGGAACTTATTTTAGTTATATTAATATAGTCAAGCTTAAATCTGCACAGTCACACAATGGAAAAACACATATCTGTAGAAGGAGTTATTTATGAAGTTTTTCATATTTTGGTCCTATGTACTATGTGATTATATGTGCTTGACTTATAAAGACCAAGCAGTGTCAATTACATTGTAGTATATAATAGCTATAAATTTTTTTGTAGTTATTCTATATTTGAATATAGTAACTTAGTTCCAATTTTTAAAGTTTCATTTGTAAAAGCTGTAATCTTATCTACTATTTTCTACTTTACTGAAGTCTTAATGTATAACTCTGAGATAATAGTGAAATGGAAACTGCTTTTAGTGGAGGTTATAATAAAGATAACAGAAATATTTTAGAGCTAAATTTTGTTTACTCTGTGTTGAAAATAGGTACTACATGGAGAGAAGGTATTAAGGAAATTGTTACATGATACCACATATTTGCAAAGTTGTTCAAGTGCTGGTGGTTTAAAACAGATTAGTTCTTGGTCACTTTTCTTTTCAAATAAATATGTCAGATGTCACATTATTAGACAGGAAAATGAGGTAATAGCTCACAGAGAGCTGTTATAAATACTGTTATTATTTATAGAGATAAGTAATAAGGAGGTTTTCAAAGAAACCTTTAGAAACTGTATTAGTTCAAAGCTCTATTAAAAGCAAAGTGGTTTTGATTGAGGGAGGCCCACAAATGATCATCTAAAGGCAACATTGTGTTTTCACAATGACCACTTCAATAAAGCATCAGTCAAGACTGTGAAGCCCGCATTTGAACACTTTGTGGTCAAACTTGGACCTTGCACAGACAAAGCCACATGCTTTGTTTTAAATAATCCCCAATTTATTTACAAGGTAATGATTATAATGTTGTAGGTCTTTTTTTCCCCCAGAAATTACTATTACAGATTAAAGTTACATAAATGTTTTGAGCCCCTTAGTTTAAGGGAACTATCTAAATATTAAATTGTACCAGCAGCCCCCAAACAATCATTACGAAGTGCACTATAAATGCTTACAATTCCTGGCACTGTTTATACTTCATCATAAATCTTGTATACCAATTTAATAAACTCAGTATACTTAAAGGTAAAAACACTTATTTTAAGCTATATCCACCTCTATATTATCCTTTGCCTTTAGATGCAGATATCATACACATGAGAGGTAAAGAGTTTGTAGAAGATAGCACTGAATGCAGTACTTTCCAGTCTAGCAAGTTATTTTTTTCCAAACACTGTGAAGTTACAGCTGCTTACCGTAGAACACTGAGATTGATTTGACTTGATGTTGAAAATCTTTATCAGATTCCTATGTATGAAAATGTCGTCTTCCCTTACTAGTAAAGCAGGCATGCTTCTTAGGTATTTTATTAGACTTTCCTGGATCTTCCTGCATATAGTTTTAATTTCATTGTAATTTCTATTTTTACAAAACAGAATTCCAATAATGTATAAATATACCAAATTTGGTTGGTGTAGGTTATTGAATCTCATTTTCTCATTCAACTAGCCTAATGTCCCACAAGTAGTCAAAGGGTTTTTGAGTCTTATTAAACTACCTTATCTTTAAATACTTGGGTGTTAGTTGCACAAAATATGGTTATAACCCAGCTTTTATAAAATAACATGTCACAGCATTGACTACAACTTTCTTTGTAACAAACATGCAATTTTTAAAGTTTTGTTATTTTGAGAATAAATTTAAGAGTTTCAAGAACATTATTATAGTTCATGTCTACCTTTACTTGATTGAGATTGCTGAACTGACTTGGTTTCATTTTAATATGGATCTTGTGATCTGATTTGTGTAGCCAAACCATTCTACCATAGGTTCTTATTTTCTACTGAGCTCAGAACCACTTTCAAGAACTGCATACTTCACAAATGCCCAGGAAATTGATGTGACTTTCCAATAGCCTTCTGACTCAGCCTTCTTTTACCACTCAAAGTATACACCTTCTTGGAGTTTCTAGCACAGCTAAACAGCTACACACTCCCTAAAACTTAGTTCATTCAATTTGGCGCTCTTCTCACCATAAGTCACTTCCTGCTTTAGCTTATCTAAAACCTATACAACTTCTGATGCACACCTCATGTTGCTTCTTTTCAAAGAAGCCCAACCTGTTCTCCAAAACCCTCAGTGATCTCTCTCTTCTTTGGTACCTATATGGCCTATTATCTGCTACACCCATTTCACACTTACCAACTGAGACTGTGTAGTTATTCCTACTCAACCAAATTATAAGTTCTTTGAAGTCAGGTATCATGATACATTACTTCCTTATATATACCATAGCGCCAAATACAGCATTTTGCGCATAGCAGTCATGTATTTTTAAATCTAAAAAGAATCTTAAGAGATGATCTCAACTATGTTAGATAAGAGACCTAGATCTCAGGGCTTAAAGGAGACTGAAAAACTATTTGGTGATTGTTGAGTGCTGGATTTACTACTAAGTGTTGGAAGGAGTTTAAATTTTTTTGTATATATAAAATACCCTATAAAACAGTGCTTTTCAAACTTGAATTTGCATTGGAATCAACTAGAGCATTTGTTAAAATACAGATTGAGGGGCCCAAAGCCCAATGTTTCTGATTCAAGAGGCCAGGAGTGGGGTCAAGCATTTGCATTTCTCACAAGTTTCCAGGTGATGCTGATATGACTGGTTCATGGACTGCCTTTTAAATAGCATTGCTGTAAGAGAAAGGTTCTTATACCTAAATGCTATCTCAATGATAGTTTTTCTATTTTTGAAAGAATAAGTTGGGACTTTTATATTAAATTACCATTTTTGTTTTTCAAAACATGAGTAGTTTCTATTCCAAACATGCTTTCAATTTGCTCCTAAGGGTCCCACTTCTCTAATGATTCGCAGATATTAATTGTCCAAGTAAAGAAATAATTTTGAAAGCTCTTTTCCTTCATTTTTATCAAAATTCAGTTTTTATTGGAAAAGACAAGACAAATGCCAATAGGGCAATGACTTCTTATCTAAATTTAGCATTCTCATACACAATTGAGAGTAGGGCTAATTGTAACAACTCTCTGGAAGGCAGTTTGGCAATATATATAGAAAGTTTTAAAAATGTATACACCTTTAACTGTACACTCTAACTTGTAGTGTTTTATCCTAAGTACAAAATAAGTAATAAAATATGGAAATATTCTATACCTTGAGGTTATAATAGTTGACTAGATACATACATTTGTCAAAACTCATGAAGTTGTACATTTAAAATAGGTTCTTTTTTGGTAAATTATACCTCAATAAAATTGAATTAAAAATTTTTAAAATGTCAGTAAGAAATTACTTCCTTTTTTGTTGTTTTTCAGCTGCAGTTATGGCATTAACCACCCAGTTGTTACCTACTTCTAGATGAAAGTAAGTGTGAAATAGGAAATTGAGTTAAAGCTGTTTGCCATGGCCTCTGCAGTTTTGTAGCTTGTGGAGGAGGCCAGCGTGTGTGTGTATGTGTGTGTGTGTGTCTGTGTGTGTGGACACAGAATCTGAAGTAGTCCTGCAGCTACTCCACTGGTTTTAAGTAATAGAGAATGCATGACCATTTTAATGACTCACCTTTTGGAAGCCTACTAGAGAGGTGGAGAAGGTAAAGTACAGTAGTCCTCATGCTGATTCTAAAGACCCACTTTTTCAGCTTGGATTTAGGCTATTGGCTAGAGTTACTCTAAGGGTTCTGAGGTACTTTAAAATTGAAGGAACGGGGTCTCTGGTGATTTCATTCTCTCCACTACAGGGAATGAAACAGGTAAATAAATTAGCAGGGCAGTAGTTTTCCTAACTGATTTTCTAAGATCACTAACAGGCTTGCTCTTCCTGCACCATTTTTCTGCTTTCTTACCTAGATTGTCAACTCCTTTCGACTACTTATTTATCTTTCTATCCCCCAGAGTCCTGCTTTTTTATAATTGCTACTCAGTAATTATGTAAGGAGATTGAAATAATTCCTTACTGTTGAGTTGGTATTTTGCAAACTTTCATTTCAGTCTAGTGGAAAGATAACAATGCAGTAATTTAGGAAGATATTGACAAGGATGTTTTGAAGGTATTCCCAATAGTATTACAAATTATTTTTAAAGAAAACCTTTAAAATAGCATCTCCTTTTTCCTAAATAACTTGCAAATCAGATTTTAAAAATTGTTTAAAGTAAAAACAAAGCTCTTTTTTCTATATCCCAGAACTGCAGATAAATGTGGTTTCTGAAACTTTTTCCAAGTCGTATATTTTCATTAGCTACAGTGATCTTACAACTGAAACTTAGCTATAGGCTACGTAAAAGATACATGAGGCAGAATGTAAAGTAGCGAGAATTTATAGTGTTACATGGTATTGCAAAAGCAAGGCTAGCTGCTTTTTCTTAATCCAAACACATATAGTCTGACTGGAAAGAGATTTTGAGGTCAAGTCTTTCAAATAATAAAGAGTTTTTGTTGTTGGTCATGGTGGGTTTGTTTGTTTTTAGTTGAAACTAAAGCACAAATGTTTTATCAAAATATGAGTGAAATTGTCAGTGAGTTGCCTGCATTTGTGAGCATCTGCTGTGTTCTTAATGGTACAGTGAAAAAGAGCCATTAGACCTAAGAGTATGACCCTATAGCAGGTATATCCAAAGCTACAACAGAGGGATGTCTGTAGAGAAAGTGGAGTCTGCTGCCTCTACTGATTTGAACTTCCTAATGACTCCTATATAAAATCTAAATCCTGTTCATCACTTTTCATCACTTATCTTTTATCAAAAACTTAGCCATATCATTTTTCTATTTTGTATTCCTCTAATTATTTTCAGTGGAACAAGCATATGCAAACTTGTCTGTTACATTTTTATAATTAAGTGGTTTTCACCTTGTAACAAGGCTATGACTGTCTTAGAGTCTTGAATCCAAGTTTGTGAAGTAGATCCTGTGAGAGAGATGAAGTGACTTGCTCAAGGCCACTCTGATGTCATCAGAAAGAAATTTACATTCAGGTCTGGCTTACCTCAGGCGTAGTTGTCCATATATCAGAATTTTAAATATGTGTACTTACTTTTGAAATGTTCTTATTATTTCCGGCCATCTCTACCCACAACCCTCTCCAAATCTTGGACAAATTTATTTTGAGTGAAACTGGTTTTAATCAGTTCTTATGTTATCCCTCTACAGAGTTATTTCTACAGTAGAAAGCATTTGAATGTGCTATAAATCTGCCATCATGGTCTCATCTCAAATGGCACCCTCTCAAAAATGACTTTATTGCCTACTTCTATTACCTATTTATTCTCTATAGTGATAGCTGATTTTACTTTTTTCAAAATATTTTCATCTGAACTTACATTATTTACTTGTATACATGCTTCCTGTCTGTCTTTTTCAACTGGAATGTAAGCTACATTGGAGCTTGAACCTTATCTACTTATTCCACCTTTTCCCTGGCCGTTATATGCTAGGCATGGAATAAGGCTCACCAGATTTTGGTTGAAGCAGTAATCACTAGGTACTAAACATTGGGGTAACAATTACCGGGGGATGACATCACTCTCATGCTTGGTGACAGTTCTACTGGTAAGAGCATATTTTGTTTCTAGTCTTTATGTTCAGATGGGTTCCAGTGAAACAGAACTGAAAATCATTGCCATTTATATACCTCCCTTTCTCTATAAAGTTATAAAAATGAGATAAAATATTAAAAATATTATTTTTATTACATATGAGCAGTTTATGTTTTAAAGTCTTTAAAACTATTTTCCTATGTGTATTCACAAGATATCACATTTTGATTAATTATTAATTCCAGCCATTTGCAGACATATACTATTGGAGAAAAATGAATATTAATAAGGAAACCAAAATCTGAAAGTCATCTCTAAGGTTTTACTTTTCATAACTTAAAATTACTCACAGTTGCTTGGTTATTTATAATTTTTTTTTTCATTCTACATCGAGCACACATCTCTTTCATTTTTTTTCTATTGGCAAGTGAGCATTATAGATTAGGGAATGAATTAGGCATCATACCATGTTTCATAATACTACCCTTTCTATTGGTCTAAAACCAGAAAATGAAAATAGACCACATAGTAGCTGAGATCATAAACTGTGAAAAAAAGTTCTCCTAATTGGAAACAAGTTTGAAATAGAAATAAACCCACAGTTCACTTTTTTCAGTGCATTAGAGGTGATAGTGACAGTAAACATACACATACATTTGAATATGTGCATACATAAATATATGTGTGTGTATATATATATGTGTATATATATGTGTATATGTGTATATATATGTGTATATATATATGTGTGTGTGTGTGTATATATATATATGTATATATATATATCCTGATCTTATTTAAAAGTATTTAAAGTGACTTTTAATAATATAATATGTTATTCATAACAATGCTTTCTGGAAGCAGTTGCTAATTATTTTCCACATTTTACCGATGAGGAAAGTGGGGATTGGGGAGTTTATATGATTTACCCAAGACTGAATAATTGACTAAACATAGACTTGGGCCTTGAATTCTGATTATCTGATTGGTATCTCACTACTTAAAAATAATATAAATTAAAAAGGACAAAATTCTCAAATAAAAATTTAAGTAAAAGTTAGGTCAAGTTAATTATTGTCTCTATTCAAGGTTTAGCTGCAGGCAACATAATGTACTCTAGTTAATTAGTGGAAAACTATTTATTTTGGGGTATCAATTAGCTTATAGAATTACTGGGAAGACCAAGTGTACCAGGCTTGAATGCCTCTAAGCTAGTAATACTGAACCATACCAGAAAAAAATAAATTTTATGGAAGTTCACCTGTTTTTGCTCCCTGCACATCAACACTTATGGAACCAGAAGCTTTGGCAGCTGAAGAAATGCCATGTCTCCACAACTGTGCTTGCTTCTTCAATCTTAACTCTAGCCCTACAACTGTTACTAGGTAGAACCTCACAAGATTGCTGCAGGTTTGCTGAGTGCATTTGTCAGGAGGTATATCCACCATAGTGCTGCAATGTAACATGCTACCTCAAAATTCAGTGGCTTAAAATAACAATCATGTATTTTTATTCACACATCTGCAGGATAGCTGAGGTTGGCTGATCTAGGCTGGGCTTAATTAGGTGGCTCTACTTTATGTTACAGACCTGGCTGGACTTGGTTCTTTGATATATATGGGTTAGACTAATTCTGAATCTAATTGAATTTATTCTGGTTTCCAGGCTGAGGGAAGCAGCTATCATAGTGATTGCAGAGGGCTGAACAAGCAGAAACACACAATGTATCCTCAGTTAAGAGTTACACCCAGCAAATTATCATTTCTGCTGCATTTCTTTGGCTAACACAAGTCACATGACCAAGTCAAAAGTCAAGGTGGGGAAGTACCTTCCACCTCTAGTGGGAGGGACTGTAAACTCACATAGAAAAGAGAGCGAATGAAGGGAAGGGTGCAGAATTGGGACTAATACTTAAATCTAACACCCAGAAAATATTGTTTTGAAATTATTCCCATGAAAAAGAGAGGCACAATTGAAGAACTATCAAAATGGAGACACATTTTAAACAAGCTTGGGGCTGAGACAAAGAAAAGTAGTGTACTACATACATTTAATGTAATGGAAAATCAAGGACTAGTATATTCAGCATAGCTTTTATACACATAGTGTTAAAACATCAGTGAAATATTGTGGGTCACGACTGTGATTCCCCTTGAAAGATTTATATACTGCATATGTAATATGTATATGTATAAGAGATGACATCATAATGGTATATATAAAGCAATCTTACCATTGTTGCATCTTAATGAGAAACAAGATATGTATAAAATTGACAGATTTAAAAGAGATTTGTAAAAGATTTTAAATTAAAAGTGTTTGTTTCTGTGCATTTTTATTAAATTATCTACTATGTAGTAGTGTATGTGATCATGTGGCTCTGTGCCAAGGATAAGAAGGGGACACTGATGTCGTTTCTGTTGTTTTAGTCTAGTGCATATATGAAAGGACAGAGACATAGGCTCCAAAATAGAAGCTGAAGAAAAAGTAAAATAGTGTTCTTATGAAGTAAAAATTATTTCATAACCACTTATTATCTAAGACCAGTCAGTACTTTGCTCACCTTGGTTAGGAATGATTTTATACTCCTTAATGGATGGAGTCTCCTCTTATTTAACAATACTATCATGCGATGAAAGAAGGGAACTGTTTCTCTCATTTCTGGATCTTTCCAAATTCTAAAATTTCCAGTCGTTTCAAATTTGCAAGGACTGGAAATTTTAACCTTTCTTATAGTAACTACTATCTTTCCATGCAAGGGAAAAATTATGCTACAACTGCATAGCAATGTATATTATTACAGTTAAACCAGTAGCAAAAAGCCAATAAATTAAAGATATAATAAAATTACAAAAAAGATATATATAAAATTATATACATAATTTTATTTATATATAAATAAGATTTATATTTATATAAACACTAGCTATATACATTTATATATTTTATTTATAAAATAAATGTATTTCATTTATATATATATAATTACCTTAAATATAATTTCTTTAAGCATTTGAGTTGTTAAAGGCTGACTAAAAAGTAAAAGTTTTAATTTGATTTTACCAAGTATAAGAAAGTTCTATTTTTTGTCAGTCTAATATATTTTTATGTGCTGCTGTGCTTGTTTTATGATTATTTTAAATCATTTTAAATATTTTGAGCACTATAAAACATTTTATGTTGTTGTGTGGAACTTAGTCTATAACCTAGATCATTTAAAAATGTTAACTGCCTTAACATTCACGTGGTTAAAATTCTCCCCTTAGTAGCACAAAATACCCCTAATTTTATCATAGATATTAAGGGAAGAAAATGAATGTTTTATAAGGAAACTGAGCTGTTAAAAGATTATTCAGCAATGTGTGGGATACCATTGCATGAAAATTAAAAGCCTGATTAAGAGAATCAGCAAATGGTTATTCAACTTCTACTTTTTTTGTTATTCTAGTTTTATATTTGTAATACACTTTACAATAAGTACATTACAATTAAAATTTAGAAAATGTTTATCCATGTTGCACTTTAAATCATCTCAGGTCATACTGAAGGTGCATGTACCATGCTTGCTCAGGTAAGCAGTGGGGAGTCATTAAGAGGTTTTCAGCAGGAGAATGATGCAGTTTGATTTACATTTTACCTAGGTTGCGTGATAACTAAGGGAGAGATTTCTTTTTCTATTAATATTTTTTAAACTCCTTTACTTTTAAAAATAATTAATAGACTTTATATTTTAGAACAGTTTTAGGTTTACAGAAAAATTGTATGGGAAGTACATAGAGAGTTCCCTTAGACTCCCTGTCTGCACACACCCACAACATCTTGCACTAGAGTGGTACTTTTGCTACAATCGATTATCCTTCATTGACACACAGTACCTAAAGTCTATAATTCACATTAGAGTTCACTCTTTGTGTTGTACATTCTATGGATTTTGACAAATGTAAAATGACATGAAGTGTACCCACCATTGTAGTATCATACAGAGTACTTTCACTCCCTAAAAATTCTCTGTGCTCTGCCTGTTCACCAGTTTCTTCCCCAACCCCTAGCAACTACTAATCTTTTTACTGTCTCAACAGTTCGGAATTTTCCAAAATGCTGTATAATTGGAATCATATGGTATGTAGCCTCTTCAAATTGGTTTCTTTCACTTAGTAAGAAGCATTTATATTTTCTCCATGTCTTTTCATGGCTTGGTAGCTCTTTTCTTTCTATTGCTGAATAATATTCTATTATCTGGATGTACCATAGTTTTTTATCCACTCATTTACTGAAGAACATCTTGGTTGTTTTGAAGGTTTGGCATTTACAAATAAAACTGCTATAAATGTCTATTTGCAGGTTTTTGTGTGGATATAACTTTTCCATTAATATGGGTAAATACTAAGGAGCATGATTGCTGGATCATATGGTGAAAGAATGTTTAGCTTTGTTAGAAACTTTCCAAAGTACTGTATCATTTTGCATACCCACCAGCAATGTTGCTGTTATTCCACTTCCTTGTCTGCATTTGGTATTGTCAGTGTTTTGGATATGGGCCATTCTAATAGGTGTGTAATGGTATCTCATTGTTCTTTTAATATGCAATTCCCTAATGGCATATTGATGTGAAGCACTTTTTTCTATGCTCACTTGCCATTTATATATCTTCTTTGAAGCAAAATCTATTCAGGTTTTTTGCCATTATAGAGTCAAATTGTTTTCTTATCATTGAGTGTTATAATATCTTGTATATCTTTGATAACAGACCTTTATCAGTTGTGTCCTTTGCAGAAATTTTCTCCCAGTCTGTAGCTTGTCTTCCCACTTGCTTAACAGTATCTTTTGCAGAGGGAAGTTTTAAATTTTAAGTAAGTCCAGATATATGAAGTATTTCTTTCAGGGATCGTACATTCGGTGTTTTATTAAAAAGCCATACCCCAGTTGACATAATTTTTTTATGTTATCTTCAAGAAGTTTTATAGTTTTGCTTTTCACATTTAGGGTCATGATTCATTTTAAGTGTATTTTTTTGTGAAGGGTATAAAGTCTGTGACAGGATCTATTTATTTATTTATTTATTTTTGCATGTAAATTTCCATTTGTCCCAGCTCCATTTGTTGAAAAGACTATTTTTGATCCATTTTATTATCTTTGTTCTTTGCCAAAAATCAGTTAACTATATTTTTGTGAGACTATTTCTGGGTTTTCTGTTCTGTTCCATTGATCTATTTGTCTATTCTTTTACCACATGTCTTGATTACTGTGGTAAAGTAAGTCTTGAGTCAGGTATTGTTGGTCCCCTAACTTTGTTGTTCTTTGCAATATTATTTTGTCTATTTTGGGTTTTTTGCCTCTCCAAGTAAACATTAGAATCCATTTGTTAATATACAGAAAATAGAAAATAGCTGCTAGAATTTTAATTGGGACTGCAATGAATCTGTAGATCAAGTTAGGAGGAACTGACATCTTGACAATATTGAGTCTTCCTATCCATGAAAATGGAATATATTTCCATTTAATTTTTTGCTTTCTGTCATCATTTTGTGCTTTTCCTCATATAGATATTATATGTATTTTATTTTATTTATACTTAAGTATTTTATTTTGAGGGGTTGCTCATGTAAATGGTAATGTGTTTTTAATTTCAAATTCCACTTATTCATTGCTGGTATAGAGGAAAGCAACTGACTTTTGTATGTTAAACTTATATTAAGCATTCTTGCTATAACTGCTTATTAGTTCTAGTGGGATTTCTTTTGTCAATTCTTTTGGATTTTCTACATAGACAATCATGTCATCCGTGACCAAAGACAGTTTTGTTTCTTTCTTCCCAATCTGTATGCTTTTTATTTCCTTTATTGCATTAGCTAGTACTTCTAGTATCATGTTGAAAAGAGGAAGCATCCTTGTCTTCTTCCTAATCTTGGAAGTGAAGCTTAAAGTCTCTCACCATTAAATGCAATGTTAGCTATATTATCTTATAGCTCTTTTAAATTAACTTGAAGAAGTTTGTCTTTATTTCTAGTTTGTGGAGAGTTTTTGTGATACACCGGGTGTTGCATTTTCTCCGATATTATACAGGGGTGTGGCATCCTTTGATATGATCACTTTATTTTTCTTCTTTAGCCCATTGATGTGATGGAGTACATTAATTGATTTTCTAATGTAGAACCAGCCTTGCATACTTAGGATAAAACCCACTTGTTCTAGGTGCATCATTATTCTTTTACATTGTTTGATTTGCTTTGCTAATATTTTCTGAGGCAATATTCGAGCTTTTGCACATATGTCCATGAGAGATACTTGTCTGCTGTTTCTTTCTTGTAATGACTTTCTCTGGTTTTGATATTAGGATAATGCTGGCCTCATACTCCTTGGTAGGAAACACTCCCTCTGCTTCTGTCTTCTGGAAGAGACTGTAGAAAATTGGTGTAATTTTTTTCTTAGCTGTTTGGTAGCATTCATCATTAAATCCATCTCAGCCTGGTGGTTTCTGTCTTAGAAGGTTATTAATTGATTCAATTTCTTTAAATAGATATAGGCCTATTCAGAGATATTCATTTTTTCTTGTGTGAGTTTTGGCAGTTTGTGTGTTTCAATAATTTGGTCTATTTAATCTGGGATATCAAATTTGTAGGCATAGATTTGCTCATAATATTCCCTTGTGATCCCTTTATGTTTATGGAATCTGTAGTAATGCCTACTCTTTCATTAGTTAGCCTGGCTAGAGACTTAAAAATTTTGTTGATCTTTTCAAAAAAACAGCTTTTGGTTTTGTTCCTTTTCTTCACTGATGTACTGTTTTAAATTCTATTCATTTCTGCTCTATTTTTATTATTACTTTTTTCTTTTATTTTGAATTAATTTGTTCTTTTTCCACATTACTAAATTATAAGCTTAGATTATTGATTTTAAAACTTTTCTTTTTTAATATACACATTCAATGTTATAAATTTCCCTCTAAGCACTGCTTTTGCTGAATCTTACAAATTTTGATAACTTGCATCTTAATTTTCATTTAGTGCAAAATATTTTTAAATTTCTCTTAAGCTTTCTTCTCTGACCCATGTGTTACTTATTTTTTTTTAAATTATACTTTAAGTTTTTGGGTACATGTGCACAACGTGCAGGTTTGTTACATACCTATACATGTGCCATGTTGGTGTGCTGCACCCATTAACTCGTCATTTAACATTAGGTATATCTCCTAATGCTATCCCTCCCCCCTCCCCCCACTCCACAACAGGCCCTGGTGTGTGATGTTCCCTCTTCCTGTGTCCATGCGTTCTCATTGTTCAATTCCCACCTATGAGTGAGAACATGCGGTGTTTGTTTTTTTGTCCTTGTGATAGTTTGCTGAGAATGATGGTTTCCAGCTTCATCCATGTCCCTACAAAGGACATGAACTTATCATTTTTTATGGCTGCATAGTATTCCATGGTGTATATATGCCACATTTTCTTAATCCAGTCTATCATTGTTGGACATTTGGGTTGGTTCCAAGTCTTTGCTATTGTGAATAGTACTGCAGTAAACATGCGTGTGCATGTGTCTTTATAGCAGCATGATTTATAATCCTTTGGGTATATACCCAATAATGGGATGGCTGGGTCAAATGGTATTTCTAGGTCTAGATCCCTGAGGAATTGCCACACTGACTTCCACAATGGTTGAACTAGTTTACAGTCCCACCAACAGTGTAAAAGTGTTCCTATTTCTCCACATCCTCTCCAGCACCTGTTGTTTCCTGACTTTTTAATGATCGCCATTCTAACTGGTGTGAGATGATATCTCACTGTGGTTTTGATTTGCATTTCTCTGACGGCCAGTGATGATGAGCATTTTTTCATGTGTCTTTTGGCTGCATAAATGTCTTCTTTTGAGAAGTGTCTGTTCATATCCTTCACCCACTTTTTGATGGGGTTGTCTGTTTTTTTTTCATGTAAATTTGTTTGAGTTCATTATAGATTCTGGATATTAGCACTTTGTCAGATGAGTAGATTGCAAAAATTTTCTCTCATGTTGTAGGTTGCCTGTTCACTCTGATGGTAGTTTCTTTTGCTGTGCAGAAGTTCTTTAGCTTAATTAGATGCCATTTGTCAATTTTGGCTTTTGTTGCCATTGTTTTTGGTGTTTTAGACATGAAGTCCTTGCCCATGCCTATGTCCTGAATGGTATTGCCTAGGTTTTCTTCTAGGGTTTTTATGGTTTTAGGTCTAACATTTAAGTCTTTAATCCATCTTCAATTAATTTTTGTATATGGTGTAAGGAAGGGATCCAGTTTCAGCTTTCTACACATGGCTAGCCAGTTTTCCCAGCACCATTTATTAAATAGGGAATCGTTTCCCCATTTCTTATTTTTGTCAGGTTTGTCAAAGATCAGATAGTTGTAGATATGTGGCATTATTTCTGAGGGCTCTGTTCTGTTCCATTGATCTATATCTCTGTTTTGGTACCGGTACCGTGCTGTTTTGGTTACTGTAGCCTTGTAGTATAGTTTGAAGTCAGGTAGCATGATGCCTCCAGCTTTGTCCTTTTGGCTTAGGATTGACTTGGCAATGCAGGCTCTTTTTTGGTTCCATATGAACTTTAAAGTAGTTTTTTCCAATTCTGTGAAGAAAGTCATGGTAGCTTGATGGGGATGGCATTGAATCTATAAATTAGGTTGGGCAGTATGGCCATTTTCACAATATTGATTCTTCCTACCCATGAGCATGGAATGTTCTTCCATTTGTTTGTATCCTCTTTTATTTCATTGAGCAGTGGTTTGTAGTTCTCCTTGAAGAGGTCCTTCACATCCCTTGTAAGTTGGATTCCTAGGTATTTTATTCTCTTTGAAGCAATTGTGAATGGGAGTTCACTCATGATTTGGCTCTCTGTTTGTGTGTTATTGGTGTATAAGAATGCTTGTGAGTTTTGCACATTGATTTTGTATCCTGAGATTTTGCTGAAGTTGCCTATCAGCTTAAGGAGATTTTGGGCTGAGATGATGGGGTTTTCTAGATATACAATCATGTCATCTGCAAACAGGGACCATTTGACTTCGTCTTTTCCTAATTGAATGTCCTTTATTTCTTTCTCCTGCCTGATTGCCCTGGCTACAACTTCCAACACTATGTTGAATAGGAGTGGTGAGAGAGGGCATCCCTGTCTTGTGCCAGTTTTCAAAGGGAATGCTTCCAGTTTTTGCCCATTCGGTATGATGTTGGCTGTGGGTTTGTCTTAAGTAGCTCTTATTATTTTGAGATACGTCCCATCAATACCTAATTAATTGAAAGTTTTTAGCATGAATGTTGTTGAATTTTGTCAAAGGCCTTTTCTGCATCTATTGAGATAATCATGTGGTTTTTGTTGTTGGTTCTGTTTATATGCTGGATTACGTTTATTAATGTGCATGTGTTGAACCAGCCTTGCATCCCAGGGATGAAGCCCACTTGATCATGGTGGATAAGCTTTTTGATGTGCTGCTGGATTCGGTTTGCCAGTATTTTATTGAGGATTTTTGCATTGATGTTCATCAGGGTTGTTGGTCTATAATTCTCTTTTTTTGCTGTGTCTCTGCCAGGCTTTGGTATCAGGATGATGCTGGCCTCATAAAATGAGTTAGGGAGGATTCCTTCTTTTTCTATCTAATTGGAATAGTTTCAGAAGGAATGGTACCAGCTCCTCCTTGTACCTCTGGTAGAATTCAGCTGTGAATCCATCTGGTCCTGGACTTTTTTTGGTTGGTAAGCTATTAATTATTGCCTCAATTTCAGAGCCTTTTATTGGTCTATTCAGAGATTCAACTTCTTCCTGGTTTAGTCTTGGGAGGGTGTATGTGTCAAGGAATTTATCCATTTCTTCTAGACTTTCTAGTGTATTTGCATAGAGGTGTTTATAGTATTCTCTGATGGTAGTTTTATTTCTGTGGGATTGGTGGTGATATCCCCTTTATCATTTTTATTGCATCTATTTGATTCTTCTCTCTTTTCTTCTTTATTACCATGTGTTATTTAGAAATATGTTGTTTAGTCTCCAAGTCTTTGAGGATTTTCCTTGTATCTTTCTATCATTAATTTCTAGTTTAATTCTATTTTGGTCTGGGAGAAGGCATCATATAATTTCTTTTATGTTAAATTTGTTAGAGTGTATTTCATGTCCCATAATGTGGTCTATATTGGTCAGTGTTTCACATGAACTTGAGAAGAATCTGCTGTTGTTGAGTGAAGCATTCTAGAGATGTCAATAATATCCAGTTGCTTGATAATGCTGTTAAATTCATCTATGTCCATGAAGAATTTCTGCTTCCTGAATTTTTCCATTTCTGATACAAGGGTGTTACATTTTCCAACTATAATAATTAACCTATTTCTCCTTATTTTTCACTCAGTTTTTGCTTCATATATTTTGATGCTCTGTATTTAGGAACATGCACATTAAGGATTGTTATGTCTTGTTATGCTATTGTTATTGTTATGACAATTGAACCCTTTAAAATTATGCAATGACCCTTTTTATATCTGATAACTTTCCTTCTTAAGGCATACTTAAGAAGAACAGAATGACCTAACATGTTTTAAAATGATTTCTTTTCCCCTCCTCCTGCTAGAAGCACAAGGGAATTTTTCTCTAATATTCACTGTGAGGACCTGGTAAGATTCTGGAGGTGGAGCTAATGTGTGACTTCCTCTAAGACTGGGTCACCCTGGAGTTTTTAACTCTCAGACTTCTCCTCACTGAGCATCCAGTAGTTTATTAATTACAGTTCTGGCTTTCCTTTCCCCTTACTGATTCTCATGCTTGTTTTTTTTTCATGGGTTTATACCGAGGTAAATTGTGATTTTCTGCATTTGTCTAACTTTCACTCCAATTTGGGGGCAGTGGTTTGTCCTGTGACCTCATTTCTGTGACGGATTTAAGGAGAGTTGTTGATCTTTCATTTTGTTTAGTTTCTTATTTGTCAAGATTGAGAGATGACTTCTAAGTGCTTTCCATGCAGAACCAGAAATCAGAAGCCCTGAATTTTAGTAGTATTTTAAAAGGCTAATATGTTTAGTTTTAAATGTAAAAGAAAGAGTTGAAAATGACAGACTATTATTTTATACATTTTGTCAAACATATATTTCCAGTAACAGATTACAGTTAAGCAGACCAAATAAAGTGTGATTTAAAAAAGGGTCATATTAAAGGACTGGTAGGAATTGGTTATAGATAAACCTCTGTGCAAATTTCATAATTTATTCTATTCCAGTAACTGTAGGTATAGGTGAGTGGACTTTAAGTGATGAGCTAATTGTTTTAAAGTAGTGGCAGGTATATTGAAATAATTGTATATGAAAACATTATATCATAGAAAAGGAAAACAAACAAAAACTTCTCCAAAAGAAGCTGTTTAGGGGAAAGAGTTTTACCTTTCCATTTTGTTCTTTGTTTTTGTTTTGATTTATCCAAACAGAATGCCATAATGAATCCTCTTCAGGCCTCAACTGATAGAAGATTAATACTGAAGGTTCACAAATGTACCTTTTATGATAGGTGACTTCATAAAACATTCTTCAATGTGATATTGAAAGCTGGAGACAATTTTGTTGTTGTTTGTAGACTTCAACTGATTTATTATCTATTACAAAAGAACTTCTAGATGAGTTTGCATCCAATTGTTACAGGAACTTTGTCCTACATATACCTTTGAAAATCATCTACATTACTATTCCAGCTTCCATGCAAAATTATCAAGACAGATATAAATAAAATTTGTTTTCAAAGATCTCTAGAATATTCAAAGAATATCCTCCAGCCTTCTCCACATTCCAGCTCTTAATAATCCTTAGTGCCACATTCCAGCAGTAAAGAAAGTTTACCAAATGCCTGAACTAAATTATTCCTATGATGTTTAATGTGATTTTTCTGAGTACTTCTGTGGACAGAGGGCTGCTATCCTTGGAGGCCATGTAAAGCATCTTTGACAACCAAAGATAATTTTAATTTTTCAAGTGTGTTTATTAATGTCCAGACAAGAGCTTTGAGTCATCATATTATCTTGGACTCAAATCCTCATTCTCCCATTTTCCTGCTAATGTAACCATGAACAAGTGATCTAGGATTTCAGAGCCTCAGTTTCATCACCTGTAAAATGGAGATAATTATTCCAGATTTAGCAGATTGGTGTGAAGATGCAAGACAAAACACATGTGAACTACTAAGATGTTGCTTGGCATGTGGTAAGCATTCCTAAATACAGAAGCTTCTATGGTTGCATTTATTAATATTATTTCATTACTTCATTCATTTATGAAAAATTTGGCAAACATTTATTATGTATATTCAATATTATAATCACTCTGTTAACTATTTAATATCATCTTGTGTTCCCGAATTAGGTTAAATTAATGAAGTTCTATTTTCAATTTATTGAAAATTGTTCCTGGTCTTATAACAATGTCTATTTCATCCCCACACACAGGCTACTAAATCCAGTAATAAGCCAATCCTAGTAAACATGACTTATTTTAAAAAATCAAAATAAATCAAATTTATTTTCTTTTATCATAGTACTGTGGATAACTAACTTAAAATTTCTCTCTCTACTCAAACATTTTTCTTAACTTTCTTTTATACTAAGTGAATTATTTCAGTTTATCTTGGTGGAATACATGCATGCTTTGAACTCAGGCTGAATTTGTTTCCTATCTTAACATTGCCACTTATTAGCCCAGGAACTTAGATTATTATGAATCTCTCTGAAACTTGGCTTTCTCAGCTTTTCCAGACATAATGACGTTTTCTGAGAATGGATGTGAAACCCAAATAAAATAATGTTACCTGGTTTAGTATCTGACAGTGAGTAGGTTCTCAATAAATGGTGTATTCATGAAATAGATTAAAATCAGGCACAAGTTTTAATCTGAAAGTGTCATTTATGCTTAAAAATTTCCCTTAGAATCTTACTTTGACAAGTTTCACGATTTTTAAAAATCACTTTTGTTAAAGACATTGCCTATTAGAAGAACAACATACTACATAATTTCAGAATTTTTTGTCAGATGAAGACTTTATGGAAAACATTTAAGGAAAATTTTAAATGGAAATCAGGTGTCAGAAGTTTAATTAGAAAAATTCATCCCTTATACATGGGGCTAATGTAGACTATGGCAAGCTGCTTAATTGTTGATTCTAAAGCTATTTTTACATTGTCAACATTCTATTTAGTAATCTTGGGGGAAATAGCATCAAAAGCAGACAAAGAAAAATATTTCACTTTCCTGCAGCTGATTCCTGTGATTGCCTGACGTTTAGTTACATTTGGGCATCTGTCTCAGGAACTCCCATTGTCTGCAACCATATGCAAACTGAAGTGTGCATTGGGGTATAGACATGTGGACAGAATTTACACTTGGATATGCCATCTAATAGCAGTGGGAGAAGCTGGACAAGCCTAAGATACTTCATACAGTTCATTGAATGAACTGTTACTTTATTATTTTGTAAAGCTTCTGTAATGCACATTTATGATATAAAAAGTGCCTTGCATACTGCTTCATCGGAAGGGGACCTCATTTAGATTAACCTGTGACTTCAACAGCAGGTGGTAGAATGAACCAACTGCTTCAATTACTGCTTTTGCGCATGACTTTCATGTGTTGCTAAGATTATCAGAGGAACCTGATTACATCCCCTTAGACACTATTGTTGGCACGATGATTAAGCTGTTATTTTTTTTTTTTTTAAGACTGGAAACCTAAAAAGCTTTTTGGCATGAGGCAAAAGCACTGTGTATAGAGATCAGTAAGATAGTGTGTATCATTGCCCTGTAGCTTATCTCCACATATACAGCTCCCTGGTGGATCCCTATGATAAACATTATTGGAACAATTAGCTGCTGCTGACACAGAATCCAGACACAATAGCCATGGCCAGCAGCACAGAGCCAAAAATTATGGAGCCAAAAACCATAAAAAGCAACACCAAGCCAGTCTCCCCATTCAACTGCTGTCATAAAACCCTCCCAGTGCTATGTTTGCATAGCTGGCTTCACCGATATGGCACTGTTAACACAAAAGAAGAAGCTGCAGCACTTGTCTTTGTTTAACTGAAATTACAAGTCATTGAATTAGTATGTCATCTTTATTGTGCTGTCATGTAGCGGAGGTGAGGAAGGCTCCGTAATGGATGGGAGAGTTTGATGGCCTGAAAGACAGGCTCACAGATGGTTGTCGATATAGAACAGTTTTCCCCCCTTTAAAAAAAAAAAAGGAAGAAAGAAAGGGGGAGAAAAAGCAGAAAGCCTGCTTGGAATGGATCTTTGCTTATTTGTGGTATAATACCAAGGAATATTCATACCAGTTTCAAAATTAAGAACTTTGGTTGCCTGGAGTATACAACAAAGGCATGGAATGCAAACGTTCCTGAGGAATGCATTTGTGATTTAAACAAAAGTGATGAAACAATTTAGCTTCTTAGAAAGCTGGTTGTTATTATTGTTGTTGTAGGGGAAGTTTCTCATAATATTTCTAAACAGTTGGAAATTATTAGATAATATGAATGAGAAGGGTTAACAGTGTTTTAGAAAGTTTAAAAATAAAAAGTGAGAACTTTGACTATTTTTTCTTATTACAAGAAACTTAAAGTTCTGCACTTGTGTATGTTTTCATAGAGAATACAAAACAGTTTATTAATAAGAGAGAATTTGGGATGAATTCGACTTCAGACATATTTTTAATTTAGTGATTTTTTGCCTGCCTTGCTGCTTATCTATAGTTTTAATTTTATTTACAACACATAATTGGACAACTATATTAGAACTATTTATTGAAAATCAATGAAATGAGACACTGAATTTTATTTTTAAAAGACAAAAAGTTTTATTTCCTTTGATATGATTATTAAAAAGTTTTACCCAGTAAAAGGTATTATTCTGAATTTACTTCTTTAATGGAGAAAGCACTCTGTCTCCCAGTATTTCATTTCAGGTGGGACTCTCATCCACCCAACACTCAGGGCAATGCTTTAATTAAGGAGGAAACCAGTTACATCTAAGAGTGTGTAGAATTTTTAATGTACTGGTAATTATTTGGGGTCTTTTTTTTTCTTGTGTATGAGAAAAAATACGTGAAAACTTCAGAAAATAATTTTCTATGGTAAAACTGAGACAGATGTATGGAAATATATGAAAATCTCTAATAAGAAAAATACCCAGGTGACTTTATATTAATATTTTAAAAATACACTTGATCATATCTAAACAAATCTTAAGGGGTGAAATACAAGGATTGAATAATGTCAGAAATTAGCTCTTCACAAAAGTGCATATTTTCAAATGTGAAAAAAAAGCTTTCTAAGTATTTCTAAAGTAGGACTTCAATGTCTTCGGAAAAAGCTGTGTGAAGGAGAATTATGGAATTAAATGCCCTGAGATCCTAAGCTTATCTATGTTTTTGCAGCAATATTATTGCATGTCTAATCTTCTAGTTTACGTTTATTTTGTCTTTATTTGAGAATTGTGATGCCGGTTCTTGCAGTTTGTCATGAAAAGTATCTTTTTCAGGGGGAAACATCGTTAGTGCGTGTGTGAGTTGGGGACGTGGGGAAAAGAACATGGACTTACAGTTCATCAGATCTGGATTTGAATCTTGGCTCTGACACCTGTTAGCTAAATAACCTTGATCAGGTTACATAACCTCTTGGCATCTGACTTTCTTATTTGTAAATAGGAGTGAGGATAAGTAGACAGAGTAGAGATAAGGGGAGCAAGTGACCAGGCCACAGCCTGGGAGTGAATTTTCATAGCGGTGAGGTTACAAGTTGTAACTCATTGTCCTGTGTCAAAAATGTTACCAGTGTAAGGGCAAGGACTAACCAGACCCAGATCCTGGAAAAGGAGGCTTACATGGAGGTTTGGGCACAGAAAAGTACAAGGTCAGAGAACAACCGACAGAATGACAGCTTGATCTGACAGCCTGTCAGATCTAAGGAGAGAAGGCTCCCTAAAATCTGTCCAACTAGCACTAGTTCCAGTGCCTAGAGCCTGGACTGAGGATCAAGAGGTCTCGGCTCTTGGTAGAGAAGACTTTGTGGTCACAAAGCCAGGCAAGTCATTAAGGTTACCATCATTTACAACTTAACATAAATGAGCCAGTTAAGTAAAGATATTGATAGGGGTCAGGGTAGGAAGATGGAGAACAAAGGGCAAGAAAACTAAAGAATTAAGATTTTCCCGCCAAGGAGAAGAAATTAAGGAAGGAGAAATTTAAGACAGTCAGGACAAATCCCATTATGATTAAGCCATGAGATGCTTAACTTTGTATTGCAGAATTACCTTCTTTTTTTTTTTTTTTTTTTTTTAACCCAAATAGGGGACAGTCTGCTCTGGCAACCGCTACAGAGCTCTAGATCCCCCGCACTGTAGGACTTCTCATGCCAATGGCTGCTTGGTTACAGATATGGTGGCTAGAACAGGCAGTTTCTTGGGTTGTGTGAGAGGTTTTAGGGGTTTCCCTATCATTCCCACTACTGATGAAACATCTTCATTTGTTCTATATCCCTCAAATATTTCTGTGAAGTCAGAAAGATTTTTTTTCTCTCTCTTTTTTATTTTATTTTTTGAAACGAGGTCTCACTCTGTTGCCCAGGCTGGAGTGCAGTGGCGTGATCATGGCTCATTGTAGCCTTGACCTCCCTGGGTTCAGGTGATCCTCCCACCTCAGCCTGGGAAAGATTTTTAATCGACAATTAGGCATAATCAAAATCTAAAAAAAAAAAAAAGACAAACTGCAAATGGCCTCAGAATTACTCTTTTCTAATTCACGATTTACAAATCTAGTGAAATAATATATATGAAAGATATAGTAAACCAAAGATGTCAATGTATTTGTAACAATTATTACCATCTCATTTAATCTGTACAGAAGAGTGAATGAGGCCTAGTAGTTACATGTTGACTTGAACTTATGTAAAGATGTAAGTAACAGAGATCAGGTTTACCTGTGAATTGGTATTGAGAGGAGATGGTGCTAAAGGTAAATGGCCCATGAGGTAGCAAGGGGAGGGAGGGAGGTAAGATGTAGCTGGAGGAAGCTCAAGAGAGGTAAGATGAATCACTGTTTCAGCATTAACCATAGTACAAAGACCAAATTACCTGGTGTTTATAGGTGTCCAAAGCATTTTATTATGTACCTTTTTTCTCTGTTCTTTGATTTCATTCTTCCCATAAAACTTAAATTCATTTCTTGGATGAGTACTAGAATAAAGCCAATGAACAAGAAAGCGTTATCTGTTCATCATATTCAAAGGGGACTCTTTTAAATGCCCCACATACACATATTTATATTCTGCTGTTCTAGAATTATCCTAGAGTAGTTTAGGTCAAAGGGTCATGTATTTTATAATATAAGCTGATTTCAGTTAAAACATCCTTTTCTTTTTCTTTTTCTTACAGCCTGCAACTTGGTCTTTTCAAATAAATGTCAATTAATGTGTTTAAACTGCCTTTGGCTCCCTGTTCTTCCCTTTTTTTTCCCCGGGCCCTGTATTTTGCTTAAGCTGTGTGATTGAAGGAGAATTCAATGATAATTTTAAATGATCCCAGTGTTATAACCTTGTCAAAATCAACTGGGATATATTTAGCAATTATTTTAATAAGCAATGCTCATATGTAATTTTATCATTTCATATTATTTGTATTCATCAAATGTATAAACAATAATTGAATACATCCTAGTCCACTGTAAAACTGAATTCAGGTTTTCAGGCTTGGCTTGTGTATGTGTCTCCATGATTCTGCCTTTTACTTGTTTTTTATCTCTGTATTTTCTCCTCTTGCCTCCTGTGGTTTCATCCCTATGCAGATGAGTACTGGCAAATCTATCACAGATAATTTTCTATCTCCAGCCTCACTTTTATCATTAAATATTAGATTAATAATAGTCACATAAAACTCAGATTTTCTCTAGGTCAGGAGTCACTGACTTCTTTCTCAATCCTTCTGTGTAAGCTGTGACACTATAATTATCCTACAATCTAATATATTGAAGAACAACACCACAGAAAATGTAACTTTTAGTTGGAAAATGTAACAGACATTATCTACTGAGATTCTCTGCTAATGCCTCATATTCAATATGTCCAAAACACCTCCTACTTCTCCTCTAAACCAGCACCTCCTTCTGCTTGGAGCCAGTCAAGAGTTGAGTCTTCAGAGTCATGTGTTACTCCTTATTTTCAATCATTTGCCACATTCAGTAGAGTCTAGCTCTACAGTTTGAATAACTTCTCTTTACTGTTATTTTTCACACTACTAATCTCCTGAATGGATCCTTCAAACTTCTTGTCTAGGCACTAAAATCAGCCTTTTAATGATTTCCCCCACATTTAACTTCTCATTTTCCTTTGACCTCTCATCTTTCCTTCTCAAAAGATTCAAAGACTCCTTATCCCTCATAAATTCAAGATATGATACTCTGCCTAGCACTCAGGGTCATCTATATCGTGGCCAGTTTAATCCCCTGAAAAATTCCTTGAACAGAACCTGTATTTTCACAGGCCTACCCTTTTCATGAAATCATCCCCACCCATAAAATCCATTTAAAGTGCCACCCCCTTTTCTGACTCTCTGAATACAGCGTCATCTTTTCTTCTGTGAATGTCATCCCCTTGCATTTTCTAACTGTTCAATAGTCCTAATAATATTATAGATATATGGCAATTGTCTTACACCTTCTTTTTTCACTAACTTTGTAGATTGTCTTATCCCTTCTTTCACCACCAACTTTGCTCCATTTTTAAGCTCTTGTTGAGCCAGATCTGTTCTAATTATCTTTGTATTTCCAAAACATATCAGTGCAATTCCTCAGTCGTGCTGAAAAATAATTATCATATTTGATGGCAAGCAACTACTTGAAATTTATTGTTTCTTCACTGTTTGTCTTAGTAGATACTTCTCCAAATACAGTATAGAATTACAATGAATTGAATTCCAAGGATCTCGGACAGCTGAATTAAATTTTGGAGTGTGTCACTTTTCAAAATGATGAGATGAATGAATTCTTATAATCCTGGGTTGTCTATTGAGACTTGCATTCTGTGTGCTAATCTTGGGGTTCACATTTTGGGATCTGAAGTTGTCTATGTGAGGATAGTCTATAGTGGCAGTGGGATAAACTCAATTAGCAGGTAATTTTTAATAGCTATATGCTCTGGTATAATTCTTGAATTATAGAGATGGCTTCACATTTTGCATTGAGAGCAATTGGAAAAATAGTTAATGGCTCTGACATCAAGAAAATCTGAGTTTTATATGACTGTTCCTTAATTGAGGGCAAAGGACGCAAGGGCTAAATCTCTGCCTGGAAGTGAAGCTCAAAAATGCCTTTGTTTATCAGGCTGTGCTTCAACCTCCCAGACTCACCGAAATGGAGGGAGGGGCAAGGGTATTTACAGCAATTGGAAGGGCCTTATTCACCCCCTGAATTCACACTCAGCTAAACTTAGAAATGCAATTGGTTTATTTTGTATAAATAAGCAAGAATGCTGGAAGAAACTAAATATCTTCATAAAACAAAACATTATGATACCAGAAACCCTAAGGAATAGCACTAATGCTTTTAAATGAAGGTTTTATTTGTCTCTGAGCTGCAAAAAGGAGTCACTAATGAGATGTCATTTAAATTCTAACACCTGTTTAATGGCAGTTTTTCTCTATCCCCAAAGAGTAACTGTTTATGAATGTTTGCAGTTTTCCAAGTGTATCTACAAGAATTGTTTTTTCATAAACAGTGTGATGCCTTTTTCCTCATAGGCTTCATTCACCGTTACAACATATGATGAAAATTGTTGGTTGTGGCATTTTTGTATTACATGGGTTTCAAAGATAGCGTTCATTTCAAACACTGAAACTTAAAATTTTATAATTTACATAGTACATATTTATGAGAAACTTTATGTTTTACAGATGTTTGAGTGTATACTGGTATAAGAAAAATAAAATTTCTATATATATTGTTTACTAAATTTAAGTAAGATTGAAAAGACATTGGTGAAAATGTGTTTGCTCTTATATTCCCTCTTATGAAAAGAAGTATATTCATAAACAAACATACATGCACACAGATTTCTAAGATTTGCAGAAAAGAAATGCTTGTTGACTTTTTTCTCAGACAAGTAAATAACTGAAAAGGCAACAAATCAGATTGTACCATTCCTATTGTGATTTTATGTTTTTCTTATATAAACAATTTCTTATTTGTGAAAAGAATCCACAACAACTCTGTTACCACTTTTCTCAAAAACGATTGTAGTGATTAACAGACACTATAAGGATGAATATATAAAAATTACTTACCATTGGAAATATTTTCCTTAGGATGTGTCCCATTTGGTATTTATAAGATTTTATCCAGCTTGCTTTCATGATTAGCATACTTTAATAAAAATAAGTATACTTCAGTGAAATAAATAACCTATAAATGTATTTAAGTCAATTACCTCTGTCTTGAGAAATTCATGTGTAATTAATTTCTTTGAGATAGCAGAGACCTTAGGCCATGGATTTTACCAAAATGATTATATGAAATCTCCAAAATGCTGGCATCTAGGAAAGCTGCAGGGAACTTTTAAGAATGTACATCTTTGACCTAATAAGAGTCATACTTTTGCTCTGTTGGCATTCTGGATGTGTGACAAAGCAATCCTTGTTTGTGTTAGGAAAGCAGGAACTCGTTTTGATGGAAGGTGAGACTGGGCCTGTGTATGAAATATTCTATAGAACTCTTTAGGATTTAAGCTGAGCACACCAGGCTTACTGAAAAAGAGAATGGCTAAGCCATAAAATGCTCAAAGTGTGGACTTGAACAGTTCTATAAAACCTAAATGTTCTGCACATTAAAGGAGAAAAGGAGAAAATTGTTGCAGATGTGATTGGATTTCCCATTATGCTAAAAACTACTCTAAATTTCTTCCTCATGATCATTATTCCTTAGATTCCTTAGTACCAAATTATTTCCTCTCCTCTCCTCTCAAGATTCCCCCATGAGATTCTTGCCAATTTAAGGTGCTCTTTTGAATGAACATAAAGACTGGATGTTTTTCAGTTTTTAAAAATGCTTTTCTTATTTTTCTGTCTCTCTCCCTCCCTCCCCATCTCATATATGTAAAAACATACATACCTAAATACACATACATACACACACATATAAAACATTAAAGAATTGAAGCATATCAATTTGCTCCTGGTTTATACAATTTTTATTTATAGGTGGGATCTCAGTGCTTAATCCGTGTGTTCTAATTACCCACTGGATTTGTTCACGATCGGTTGACATACACCTTGCAGTAAGCCTAGAGAAATAAGCATATTCTTTTTTCTGTGCAGTTCTTGTCTTGACTTATGAAAGCCAAATATCCATTCTGTATGGGGAGATGAATCAGCAATCCATATAATATCTATTCATCATACATATTTCACAAGGAGGATATTGTGGTGACTGCAGAATTCTACAAAAATAATATGGAAATCCGGAACTTGATGTGGAGTGTCAGAGAGCCTCTTACTATTATTTACCTTATCAGCTTTTGCTTTCTGAAATCAATGGAAGGGCATCAAGTTCAGCTAATCCATATTTCTGAGTATGAAATTGAATTTATAGTCTGTAGTATGTTGACTACCGCTCGCATTTAAGGCATAATTGATTTTTATTGAAAAGCCAGCAGGCACATCAAAAATTTCCACAAACCACAAGGATGTTAAATTTTACCCTGTTTAGATAATAGTGTGGCTTTATTTATCCTTTAAAATGAAGGTTTTATATTTATATCAGCAAATGCTATGGAAGTGTGACTGATACCTTACGAAACCATCAATCCATGGTTCTGTAAAACTGTATGCACAGAAATAAGCAACTTTATATTTCTAAGGTAAATGTCTATGGTTGGTTTGTTTTAAGGATAAATGGATAAATGGAATAATAAATCTAGCATCATATCATGTCATGTGCAAAGTTATTTTTCCGTTGAAACAACAGCTTTCACCATTATTTCTTTTCTTTCCCATATTCCTTCTGCATCTCCTTTTTTCCTCTGCTTTACAAATTATATTTTTTTGTGCATGTCTGGATAAATGGTTTATGTGTATAGAATGTAATTCCTAAGAAAAAGTCTATTCTTCTATTTTAAAGTTAAGTAGTCAAACATATCATGTGTGATACTCCATTAAGTAAGTTTCACTCAAATGTTCCTAATACATGTGCTAAGTTCATTTATTTTTAACTAAAAGTTATGATGAGAAGACTCTTTTGAGTGTTGCTGCCACAAATATGTAAATTCAATGTCAGTTGCATGATGGATTTTTTAAAGTGAAGCTCTGCCTCACTTTAGTAAAGGGAAAACGAAATAAAAACAAAAAGGTACAGGTACCATTATTTGTTATAATTCTCCTTCTTTGTAATCTTATCACAGTGATTCTCACGGAGTGGGAGGAGTATCACACCCTAAAGAAAACCTTGGAAACTTGCAGGGATGTATTAGGTTTTTATAAAAATTGCATGGTGTGGAGCCAGGGCCACCACTGACTCCTGGGTGGAGTCAAGGGATGATAGACATTTGCAGCTTGCTTGCGGGAGGCTCTCATTGAAAAACTCTCCTATGCTCACAGAACTTTTGAGTATCCTATCAGACATTCATGTGGTTGAAAAACCTATGTAATATTATCCACACTTTGATTTTATTTTCATTTACATGGAATTAGAAGATTTTTTACATTGTTTAATATGTAATGAACTTTTCAGAAATCAAACTCTCTCATAAATTAATTGGAAATTGTTATTTCGAAGTTTACCAATTGTTGTTCATTGATGGCAACTCTATGGTGTTTGCTGCATCAATACAACAATCTTACTTTAGTTTGCATTAGTGGCTGATGCCTTTGCAAATTTATCATGATTCTGTGCACATGTATCAGCACTTGACTTCATGTCTTCATTATGTGGCAGTGCTAGAATATTTACATTTCAAAATATATACTATTTTATTAATATTACAAAGTTGTTTCTTTTTATTTCTTTTATTTTATAGTTGGGGCATTGTATTGACTTTTTCTATGATATTCTTGAAGTGGTTATAATATCTATGAATTTCATTTTGTTATAGTAAACGGGTTACAAAGTATTTGTTATAAAAAGGAGGAACTGGATCAGATAAAGTTGAGAACAATTGCCTCACGGCATCAAGACATGAATGCATTAGTTGAAAATTCTTCAGTGATAAATCCAGAGATTATTTTAATAGAACAATTATTTCCAATGAGGAAAATAGTATCTCAGGGATTTTTAAATATGCAGTGATAAGCCCTTAGTGCCTACTTTCTTATGTGTATGGATGAAGAGTGTTCAAAACAATTTGTCATATGCACAGAAATACAAAAGATGAAACCTAAAGAGATTATACATTAGTCTCTTAAGAGTAAAACTGACGGAGAGAAGCAGTATACCTTTCACAGAGGCAGATATTTTCAAAGCAATGTGTGACAGGTACAGGGACAAATCCCGTTAATAAGTAAGAGGATTTGTGCTTGGCTCTGTCACATGCCACTTTGAAAACCTACCCTCAAACTGTCTATAAATTTTCATGCCCATCTTTTTCTCCTTACTCTTTCCAGAGCATCTGATTGTTTTTGTTCACCAGTGTTTTTTTTCTCCTGCTTTATCTCATGGCATCCTTTAATAATTTTTAAGAGTTTTGTATATGTACTATGATTTTGTGGCTATGTTATTGTTAACAAAATATTTGCTGCATCCATTCATTTTCACTGGCCATCAACTGCTTCATTATAGGAGATTTGTTTACCTCTTATGACTTCCGAATATGTAAAAAAAAAATCACAGAAATTGAGGAGAGAAGTAACATTTATTATGTTGGTTAGTTTTTCCTTTTAATATGTAGTTAGGTTTTTTTAAGGAAAAAGAATATACACTATCTGGAAAGAAAAAGAGGTTTTTCTTTTTAGTTGTGAATTTTTGAAAACCCAATTATTAAGCCTAGAGGTCTTTAACTTTTATAAAATGGACTCAAAACAAATTTCAATCCTAAAGACTGATGGGCCACCTCTGTTTCTTATTTTGGTGCCTCATCACATGTGAGTTTGCTGATATTAGAAGAGGGACACAAGTATTTGGTAGAACATCTTCTGGTCTCTAAGTTGGTCCTGGTTTGATGCAGCACTCTTTTTCACCCTGCCAAAGATGATTTGCTCCCTGGAAGTAAATATTTATTAACTTGCTGTCAAAGTGAATATGGAAATTTTGCTAGTAGGAATTATATTCTTACTTTAAATTTCTATATTATTTTAAGAGGATGCATTAATGAAAAAACATAGTCCATGAAATGTGTTCTAATGTAGGCAGTTCCAAATAAAAATCATTTCTCTATGGAATTTCTGTTTTTCTCTCTCAAGAACACTAATGGTGCCTACAACCTATTGAATAGGAAGTGTTTTCCAGAGGACTAGCAATATACATCTGACATCATTTTCTTTGCGCATCTAAGTATAGACCTAGGCTGTCCTTCCACAGAATCCAACAGCTGGATAAAAAGTAAAAAACAAAGCAGATCTGCCAGATGGTTTATCTACATTAAATCTAACATCTGTATATTTTTTAAACATTTAGATGATTGGCTTATATTACATCTGCATACTTTTTGGCATTTCTTTGATCATAAATGTGTGTGTGTGTGTGTGTGTGTGTGTGTGTGTGTGTGTGTGTATGTTAAAGAGAAAAGATGCTACTGAGTCAGATAAAACTAACCAGAAAACAGAGCAATGGCCTTTGAATTTCTGTATATTTCTCTGAATGTCCATATCCAAACTCAAGGACCAGATAGCTCAAGTTCAAATTACAGAAATTTTTTGAAAGTTAGAGACAAACTGTGAGAGACAGGATAGTTTCTTATGGTATTCAGCTCCGTAATGTCATTGAATACATAGACTTGACTCTCTGGAAGGAATTCAGAGACCACCTGGCTAGAATCAATTAATTTAGACTTT
Source organism: Homo sapiens (assembly GCF_000001405.40). Taxonomy (NCBI): domain Eukaryota; kingdom Metazoa; phylum Chordata; class Mammalia; order Primates; family Hominidae; genus Homo; species Homo sapiens. Next base: position 98,026,067 of record NC_000006.12, read on the forward strand.
AGTCATTTTACCTGTGTTAGCAAAGAAAAAAGTCAAAATAATAAATAATATGTTTTTGAAATTCAAGTGTTTTTTTTTGTTTGTTTTTTTGTTTTTGGTTTTTTTTTCCCTTAGAGATGGGTTTAAACAGATGTATGTAGAGTTGAGCCCTCAACATAAAATGTCACTTATCTCTTTGGAACCAAAATCTGAGAATGCCACACAAGCAAGTGCATACTGTAGTGATTGTTCATTTAATGAGTAACAAAAATTTACATTTGTAAGGGCTTTTGAAATTTTAAAGCTCCTTCGTAGTCATGGTCTCATTATCCCCACTTGATACTAAAAACCTTTCTGGAACCCAGATCTTCTCATTCTTTTTTTTGATTTGGGTTTTGGCTTTTGGAATTTTTTGTTTTGTTTTGTTTTTTGGAGACAGTCTTGCTGTTTCGCCCAGGCTGGAGTGCCATGGTGCGATCATGGCTCACTGCGGCCTCAACCTCATGAGCTCAATCAGTCCTTCCACCTCAGACTCTCAAGAGGCTGGGACAACAGGTGTGTGCCACCACACCTGGCTAATTTTTGTATTTTTTGTAGAGGTGGGCTTTCACCCTGTTGCCAGTCTCAAACTCCTGGGCTCAAGCAATCCACCGACTTTGGCCTCCCAAAGTGCTGGGATCATAGGTGTGAGCCACCACGCCCAACCCTCATTCTTTATTTGATGCAATTCCATTATTCCATGAGCAGAGAAGAAAATGAGAAAGAAAGGGACATTTGTAGAGCAAATCCAGTGTTATATGTGTTATATCAGGGGATTTGACATCTATCACTTTATTTAATTCTTACCACTACTTCTGGAATAGAAAATATAGAAACCAAATTTGCTTTACCTCTGACAAATTGGGTTTGAATTCTGCCTCTGCCATACATAGTGGCTAGCTGTGCATCTTTAGTTAAGTGATTTGAATAATTTCCGAGCTTCAGTTTCCTTACATATAAAATGGAAATAATATCAACCCCATATGCTTGTCATAAAATTATATGAGATTATATGCTTAGTATAAGTTAATTTAGCAATACAAAGCACACTGTTGGTGCTCAACACTCAACAAATGTTTGACATTTTACAGATGAAGAAATAGAGGCTTGAAGAGTTAATGGTGGTCATAGAAGTAGGATGTCCCTGAAGGAGCGATGAAAGCTATTCCTATCTTCAAGCCTCATACAACACTTTCTTTATCATTCTAATATTGCTTATTTTTAGAAACAATAATTCACACAATTCGTTTGATTTTATAAAATTAACTTGATACATTGCCCTTTGTGAGTTATATACTAATTTCTCATATCATAATTTTTCTTCCTTAAAACATTGAATTGGTGAGAATACAACAATGGAAATATTGGTGGTATCTTGTAGTTCCAATGAAAATCTGAAAGTACAAAATTAGACCAAACCATATATTTCCATTGCTTTTACTATGTTTCATTAGCAACAATACCAGTTTTGGAAGGTGGTGTGGTCTGGTTGTCACTCTGTTGCTGACTGTCTGTGTGACTGTGGACTATATGATTTAACTGTACTAATATTTACTGTGAATCTACTTTGTGCAGTAGGATCCTGGGATAAACCTAACACAGACCCTATCCTTAAGGAGTTTCCTGTCTCACTGAGAATAACAGACAAGTCATTAAATACACAACATAGTCTGATAAGCTGACATACAGGTAAATTGCACTTTAGGAACATGAAAAAATGTAAAATTCCAACTAGGGGAGTCCTAGAAGCCCTTATGGAGAAAGTACCACTGAGAAACCCTCAAAGGTGAGGCAGGATTTGGTAAGAAGAAATGAGCAGAAGTCCCAGAGGTGGGCAACCAGTGAATGTCTTTGAAAAAAAGTTACACTTTCGTCAGCACATTGGGCACATTTAGAAGGAATAATGATAGATGACTCTGCAATTACATGTTCAATTCATTCAGATTATAGAAGGCCATGCTAAGGAGTGTGAATTTTAGGCTATGACAAATAGGTTTTTTAGATGACTCTGCAATTACATGTTCAATTCATTCAAATTACAGAAGGCCATGCTAAGGAGTGTGAATTTTAGGCTACGACAAATAGGTAATTTTGAGGTGTTTGACTTCAGTTAAAAAGATTGGTGCTGAGCAATGAGAAATTACTTCATCAGGGAATGGGGGAAGATGGATTGGCACAGAGAAATTTAGACTCAAGAAAGCTGATAAAGAAATTAAAATAGACGATGTTTCACGAATTTGAGAGACATCTATATCTACCAATAAGATCAATAGGCTGGACTTGACTTATTTTATACACCTGTCCCAACTTTTGTTTTCTGAGACAATATTTCTTAAATTGTGTTCTGTTGAATGCTAGTTCTGCTAGGTAACATGGTGTTCTATGTCAATTAAAAGGAGAATTCAGTGATGGAACAAATTGGGGAAATACTGAGTAAAATAGTAGTAGAGATGGCTTTTGACAGGACTTCACAGAGACTTATTCCCTGTGTTCATTAATGTTCATTATGTGTTTACAGAGTGGGAAGCATGTGTGTGTTACTTTCCAAGGCTGCGTGGCCATGAAATCCCTTCTAGCTTACATCTTCTGGTATCAGAGTTTTATGAAACATATTTTTTAAATGCATGTTCTATTATGCCTATGAGATTCTCTATTGAAATTGTGATAGGCCTTGGTTCTCTGTTTTAAATTATCCATGTAGTGTAACTTCAAAAAGGTGGTAAATGCAATAATTTCAATAGAATATTTTCTCCTGATACTTAAAGAGCCACACAGAGAACACAAATTTGTAAGCCATGCATTCAGATCATCCCACATGCTGCTGATATTTGAAGGCAGAATAGTTGTTTTCTCAAATTATCCAAGAGGATATTTGGTGCTTCTTGTGGTGGGCTATAGTAGTGCCTGAACTCTATCTGGAGAGAGAATTCTCTGTGACTTATCAGGTCCTTTTTAGTGTTTCCCCCTCTAAAAAGGACCTGATAAGTCCCTGAAAGGTGGGATCAATTGACTAGATGGTAGACTAGCAGCATTTAACCCCTGGGTATCAGTGAGGTGGTAGATGTCATGACCAGAATGCCCACACATCTATCAAAGAAAGCTTGAAATCATTGTCTCAGATGAGAAGAGTTTTAAGGAGAGTCTTAAGTAAGATATGACACTTGTCAGAGGAAAATAAGAAAATTGTTCCAGATGGTTGAGATTGTGAGAGAGAGGTGAGGAGGTCAGAGGAAACAATGACTGGAGAGAATAAGAGAGAAGAGGAATGGTGAAAACCCTTGGGGACTTGGACAGGTAACTTAAACTTGATGTGAATGGCAATAATCCCAGTAGACAAAATCAGTAAAAAATAAATTCTAAGTTCTTTGGCATGCAAAATCAATCTTTTAGTGACCACTCTGAATTGACTAGAGAGTGCTGGCAGGGTAGGAGAAGTTTGTAATAAAATGGTATAACTTTTAAAATGAGAGGAGATCCAAGTGTTATGTATGCTGTAGTTGGTTGCTTTTTCCTGCTTTGCCACAGCGTGTTTACACCTTGCTGCTAAATGCACTAACTGTTCCCTATACTGTCTACCAGCAAGATGGTGATAGTGCAGTCAACACTGCCTGCTCTAGTGTTAGCAATTTTAGCCATCTCAAAGAAATAGTTAAATAAGGCATATGCTTTTTCATTAACTACTCTCTAGACTTGGATGTATGACAAGTTTTTGCATTATTGGTTTTTTAAAAATCAAAATGTACTTTCTTATAAACTGAAAGCATTTAACTCTCTCTAAACCTGATCTTCCTCAAGTCTGCTAGAACGAAATATAGTTTGTTTATTTCTGTCCGCACAAAACATTTGAAAGTGAACAAACTGAAGGGTATATGCTTCAGTAGTAGCATCAGCAGGCTATTTACACTCTGGTACTAGATTCCATGGGTGTATCTTGGGTTCACTGAATTCTGGCTGTGGGATGTACCCAAATTATTTATCCTTGTTCTTACTTGGTTTATTCCTCTTTAAAGGTAATATTTGCATTATAGAGTTGTTAGGATTGAAAAATACATTATGTATAAAGACCTCAGTGTACTTCTAGGACCATAGTAAGGTTCAAATTGTGCTGCATTAGTCCTTGGATTTTTTTCATTTATTTATTTGCCCAAAAATATTTATTACTAACCTTCTATTGCTGAAGATACAGTACTGTACAAAACAGAAAAAGCCCGCACCCTTATGAAAGTTACAGTCCAGCTAGGGAAGACAGAAAAAAAAATAAACAAGGAACATATAATGTATCAGTTATTGATAAATACTATGGCATTAGGGGTCAAATTATTGGTTTTTAATCACTTGTAGTTTTCATGGATAGCCTAAAGCAGTGATTGGTTTATCTACATTAGGAATGGATGCATTTCTCTATTGGATGGATATGAAGGCAGATCCTTTACACAGTATAGCAATATGATCACATGATTTATGATTTATGGTCCAAACCAGGGCTCTTAAGAGGAAAAGCAGAGTTGCGGATATTATACAGGGACAATAGGTGCAAATCAGGACTGTGTCACGCACACTAGGGAGATATAATTACGCCAATAACCAGGGACTTGAGCTAGAAGCATTTCAGGCAAGGCAGTGGTGGTATCAGTGCCATATGGCATAGGCAGCATTAGGCAAAAATGATGTAGTTCAAGTAGCAAACATCTGGACAAGGTAAAATGGATGGTGGCCAGAGGACAAATAGGTTTCATCAATAAAGCAACTCAGAGTCAGCTGATAAATTCATTGTCCTGATGGAGGGAGGATGCCAAATGTGGCCACTTCTATCTCGGGTTTCCTGGCTCCAAGGCAGCAGGTCCCAACCTTATATGAGTTATCCTGGGCTCAACAGCCTGGCTCCCATAGGGCAGGTTAAGTTATTGTCCTTGGTGGAAAAGGAGGTATATGTATTCCTCTAGGAGCCCACAGTGAACCCATGCTGGATAGCAAGAAGGATAATCTCTGGCTAATTTGGGTTTGGTGAATGACAGGGAGTAGTTCAGGCACCTGTAAGGCTGAGTGAGGCTCACCTTGGAGCTCCTAGATTGTTCTACTAGGGGCCATATTTTTTCAAAGGGTTTGTTCTCTTTTCTTGAGCTTCCCACCACATCATTGAACTCCCCCTGCTAAGGATTAGAAAAAGCTCACTGATAACTGAGTACTCAAAGTGGGGATAAAGAAGAAAACCTTTATGTGAGTCTCACTTAAAAAAAAAGTTCAAATTTCCACATAAGTGTAATGAAGTAATGACTGACACTTTGGCCCTTTTCTCTCTACCTAAGGTGCTCATTGTCAGTTATTGCTAAAAATAATCCCATCTCCCATGAGCATAATATTTTAAGGTGTCAGAATTTAAAAAATTTTAAAATATCCTTTTAATGATGTCAGTGGCCTTATCAAATATGTCACTCAAGTGTCATCATGGTCCTTTTGTTGTTGTTGTTTTGTTTTGCTACTGGTATCACCATTTTATAGGTATTGAGATAGTACATGACTTACATAACAAAGTTAAGGGGACAGTCTGGGCTAAAATTCTGGACTGTTCTGATCCCAGAGTGATAACTCAATAAACACACAACACTCTTGTATTTAAATTCACTTTAAAAGACCATGCATTTTTAATACTATTCAAAATACTTTTCAAGTTTGGACATATATTTTTAAAAATATATTCTTATATTATTATATTTTATGACCTATTTTTTCTTTAAAAAAGAATTAATTTAGTCCCTCTTTCTTCATATCTCCATCTAACCATCCACCCAACACACATAGATTGAATGCCTGTTGAGGTGTAGCACAGACTTCTTTGCTACTCTAAAGATAAGAGAAGTATAAGAAATGGGCCCTGGATTTTCACTGAAATGACTATAGTTCAAATAACTTTCACATAGAAGATGCTTCTGACAATTATACATTATTTGTTCCTATGTAATAATAATAATCAGAATTAATATTCACATTCTTATGAGAATAATCAGAAATAATATTCACATTGTTGTAAGAATTTACATCTACTATCTTAATTGATGTTTATAGTTTGAGTTAGAGATTATTATCCCCACTAGAGATGAGTATGGTTCACTAACTTTTCTAAATTTAAACCTAGCTCTCCTCACAGCTTACTCTCTTAGGAATTTACTGTTGCTCACAGGTGCACAATAAAATAATTCAAAATACAATTAATACAATTATGTACTGAATTACACTGACTTAGTGCTAATCTCTGGTCCTGTAACTGAACAGCAACATGGTTTGGACCTACCATTATTGCTACTCAGCTTCTATGCCTTTAACTGCAAAATAGTGACAGTATTAGTTGCTTTAGGTTATTGCAAGGACTAAACCTATTTGTCTTTCTCTTAACTAAGTAATTCAAGTGATACTTTTTGACCACTTACCATGTTCCAGGCACTGTTCTGGATGTCAGGGAAAATGTAGGTGAGCAAGAGAGGCATAGTGCTGGTTCTTAGGAAACATGTAGCCAAGTAAGATAGGGAAACAAAGAAAAATGTAAGCAAATAGAAAAATTAGAAATTATAGCATGCACTATGCAAGAAATGGAATACTGAGATGAAGCATGGAAGGATCATATTGTTAGGTTATCAACTCCGTAGGTACGGTGGTTGCATCTGTTCCATTCATTACTGTATTCCCAGTGCTTGAAATATTGTGGGCAATCAATAAATGTTAATTGAATGAATATGTAAATAAAAAAGAGTGGAAGTGTCTTTAGGGACAGCTTCTTTAAAAAGGTGAATTGTAAGTTAAGATCTAAAAGATGAGAAGACTTGATCATGTCAAGCACAGAATAAAAGCACTTTCTAGGTTAAGAGAACAGCATGGACAAAAAGCCAGAGGTGGGCAAGAGAGCTCTTCTCTCTTTGTCTTGGCACTGGATGTAAGAAAAAAAGGTCCTTTTAGAATATGAAACTTGCAGTAAGATGAGTTTAGAATTTAGTATTAAAATAAATTGGTCTTAGGCCAGAATGCCACAGGAAAAGTTGCTCTGGAGGAACATTTCCTCAACTCAGGCCACGTAGAATAGGCACAGATAGTGCCCTCCTGAAGATGAGTTTACTTCTTAAAATTATAAAATGTGATATACCATACCCTGAATAAGAGCTAACAGACATAACAAGCAGAAGGATGAGTCACAACAAATTCAGAAAATAGAACAATTTGATGAATATGATAATAAACATGTTTGAAATAATTATTGATATAGAATAAGACAGTAAAGCTATATATAATTATGAAGAAAATATGTTAATATAGGTTTGAATACCTTTCACATTGTTTCTGTTTATTATTAAATATGTATTAATATAACTATACATGCAGTCATCTATCAACAGGAACAGCTCAGTACGTACAACTCTGACAGCAATTGTCCATTTATGCATATTAGTTGCGTAATTTCTTTCTCTTAAATTTGAACTTTATATTACTTTATTTAGTGTGCATTTGAGTTCTTCACCATGTCACAGAATACACACAATGGTGTATATTTAGCATGCTCTAAAAATACAAAGAAAATACTAAAAGCAAAGGCCTGTGATTGATTGTACATTTAAATAAATGCACTACAGATTGAGACAAATGCGCCAAGCGTGTGTGTTTCACTCTATCGTCACACAATTGAATAAACACACATGTACAATACAATGTTTAATTGAGTGCAGCAAGTACATTTATTTTAGTGATTGCATCATTGCATATTCAGGCAAATGCATAGGGTTCACTTTGGTGGAGCTGAAGTTCTACATACACATATGGGTTTTAAATCTTTCACTGACTTTGATAGTTCATAAATACCCACATATTTCTATGCAATTGAAAGGAAATGTGTTTTATTTCACAAAATTTACTTTTAATAGATATAAATATATTTGAAAATAATTCTGGTTATTGGTGCTGTAGGAAAAAACAAACTTAAAATCTCTAAACATTACTTTATCTTAAAATGTCACTGTTCTCAGTGAGGATGAAACAGGACATTTCCTTTTTGCCTGGGCAGCTTTTCTATGACTATCTCATCTGGAAATTGCAGTTCCAACTCTTTAGGCACCAAGCATCGGACTCATTTTGCTTTTGGATTATTTGCACAGCTTCGGTCAAATTCAGTATCACCTCATGCATGCATGCACATCTGAGGGCCAAATCTGGGCTATTAGATCTAAAGATCCAAATGGAGCTTGCCAGATTCTTTCATGCTTCCTTCATGCTCTATTTACATAGTTGTTCTTTTTCAGAAATGCTGCCATACACAGATTTTATGTCATTTCTATTAGTGGCATCTTGAATGGAAGAAAAAGAAAACAAAAGCTAAATAGTAGTGTTTGTTTTATTGTGTCAGCTTTCTAACATCTGTTTCATTTTCCAGATGTGATGGACAGGTAGTGATGGATGTTCGGTACAAGATACCCAAAAAGAAGTTGTTCAAGTAACAAGGTTTATAGTTTGATCCTTTTTCCTTGAATGTACAGGCTTAATTTTAATTGTCCTTCTTTAATAGGTAGATTTTTTTTTTAATTCATGCTGTTTAACTCTTTTCACATTGAGGGATTATTAGTGGAGACATTTTCCAACAAATATTTTCAATTAGTAGAAACCTCCCAATGTTACTCTAGAGTAATGTTTTCCATAGTGAATTCTGCAAATTTAATTTCAAGTACTGTTACATGGGAAAAATATTTTGCCAAATATGTTTAAAAATATGTATATTCTAATAATATTAATTAATTTTGATTAACTGCTTGCTGGGTGTTTGGCACTCTTAATTGCTTTGCCTGAACTAATTGGTTTCAGGTTCTGTATTTTTCCCCCATTTTGCAGATGAGGAAATAGAGTTTAACATGTAAAGTAACTTCCTCATGTGTTTCTTACTTATAGATACACGAAATTCATTAACTAAGAAGTCCTGTACAGAATTAACCTGGTTAACTTTTATTATTATTATTATTATTTTTGAGACGGAGTCTTGCTCTGTCGCCCAGGCTGGAGTGCAGTGGTGCTATCTCGGCTCACTGCAAGCTCCACCTCCCGGGTTCACGCCATTCTCCTGCCTCAGCCTCCCGAGTAGCTGGGACTTCAGGTGCCCGCCACCGCGCCTGGCTAATTTTTTTTGTATTTTTAGTGGAGACGGGGTTTCACCGTGGTCTCAATCTTCTGACCTCGTGATCCACCCGCCTTGGCCTCCCAAAGTGTTGGGACTGGTTAACTTCTTTTTAGCCCAATTTTTACCAAACTTATTTTATGATGGAATACTTTTCATGTAAGATCTTTTAACACCCCACTTGAGGACATGCTAGATAAGGATAATACAAATAAATGATACTTATCACCTTTATAGATATTAACAAAAAATGCCTGGCCGTGCTCATAGAAAAATATAAATTTTAAAAATAAACTTGCTAATCAGTTTAGTTAAATGACATGATTTTGGTGAAAAATCAGCCAGGTTAGTCGCTTGATTTTGTCTATTTTTAATGCTTATTTGAATGTTTTGCTTATCACAGCAGGTCATTGCTGCATTATTCTAATATAGCTAGTTGAAAAGTAAAACAATTAGGTGAGCCAACGGGTCATGATGCCTTGTAACTGATTTTTCTTTCCAAATTGACTGAGTGGAATAGTTGATTTACCCTTAAAACATTTTGATGTTATTTGTATTGCCAGTGCTTTTTAATACTTTTGTAAGTTTGCATTAGAAGGGAATTTGTATTTATTATACATATATAATTTTATTCAAAATAGATACATCTCAAAGAACAAACTATTTAACCACTGGGTAAGGTTCATGGCAAGATGAGATATCACTGTGCTTGTTTTTAATCATGAGAAAAAAAACTAAGCTCCTTTTATTTTTACTTTTTCTGAAGTAATATTGTCTCTTTCTTGTTCACACAACAAAGAATATATATGATAATAAAAACATACATAGCATTTACCCATTTTATATCAATTAGAGAAAAGCAAATATAAAAGAGCATAGCCTCTTAATGGACAACACTTTAAAGATATAAAAATATGTACATATTTTCCTTTGCTGTGACAGAAAGCAATTCTGAAATCAGACAAGAAATAAAAATAAATAATTTCACAAACTTTGAGAAGGAACTAAATTAGGCTTCAGCTTGATTCTTCTGAAATGTTTTTATTGCCATTTTATCCATCTTCTGCTTAAGATGTTGGTGAGATGATGAAAGCTGAAAAGTAAATAGGTGCTTCAATAAATGCAAACAAATGAGTGCTTTCCTAGCAAAGAATTAGGGAAAATCAGCCTTTCCTCTGAAGCTAATCCCTGGACAGCTAAAACTGTGAATTTCCCCCCTCAACATGCACACAGATGGGTTGCCACTGAGGATGACAGATGAGTTGTGTTTGGCGGGATTAATGGGCATTATCATGTTAATGGATGCTTAGGTGAGGTCTGAGCAAGTCACAGGCCTGGGCAGAATTACTGTGGTTTACAGAACTGTGCGTGCTCATGCTCCTCTTCTCCTTCTTCTTCTTACTAATAATTAACTTGTAATGTTTAACATTTTTAGCCCCCCGAATGATCCACAGACTACTGCCTTCCTAAGTACTGAGGCATTTATAGATCCAGCATCATGTGCTCCGTCCTTTGACATGCAAAATGCAGGCAGTCCTGCCTGATTTGTCCTTCCATTGCCTTTGTGCATTCAGCTCCCTCATAATCCAGAGTCTACTTTGTTGCAATCGCTTTTGAAATCTGACATATTGATCAAGAGTTTAGCCTTAGTAACTACAGCACATATATCAACTGTTGTTGATTGTGTCAGGTCACATTTGATGGCAAGATGATCCTGTACCCAACTAGGAGAGCTTCTGCAGCTCTCATGAGTTGATTCTGTTCCCCTCAACTGGCCAGAAAGGTATGTTGCTGCATCATTGATAATGCAACAGCATTTCATAACACCTTGTTCAGGGTCTGTGTGTAAGTTAAAGGTGATGGAGATATCAGCAAAGAGATTAAAAACAAAAGCATCATCAATAGTCTATAATGGCTTGCATTTCAAAATTAAGGCAAAAATCAATGAGTATTAATGTCAGACTTCTACATCCTTTTGAAATTGTCTAAAAATGGCTGGGTGTTTTCCTATTTACTTTAATTCAGCAAACTCCTTTTCTATGAATAACTGTCAGTATTACCAAATTAAGAAACCCTTACAGATACTTGCTTTAAAAAATATTGTTGCAGAAAATAGTTTTTATATAACAAGGATTTCTCTCATACCCTACAGTAGCAATTATTTAACATGCTAGGTAGTTCCTTAAAATTCACTTTAGCTCTTCTTTTTAAAGAGAGTATTTATACATCACTCGGGTAGGAAGAATGTGATTAAGGGGAAAATATTTCACAAGTTATTGATTTCATATAATAATTAAAACAAATTGCTCACCAGTAGGATAATACTTACAGGTAGATAGACCAAAAGTCTGTCTGCTAGAGAGAACCTAAGTTTATTCCTATTGTGGGAGAGTGGTTGTCAACACAGCCCCCTTTTATTCACAAACGTTCGCATTTGGATGATAAACCTGTAAACCAAAGTAATGGATTTCTAAATGAGGTTGCCCCATATTCAGAGTATGTCGGAGGAGGATATTACTTGGCAGTAAGTTCCCTTTCGTTCTGCAGAGGGAGACACTGAGGAACAGAATTTCCTTCTGAGAAGAAACTAAGACTGGAACCCAAATACTCAGATAACTCTTTCATGTCTTTTCCAGTAAAAGACTTTTAAACTTTTCGTTAAAAAAAGAAAGTATACGGTTCACTTGCATGGTGACTCTTTTGATTTAATCATTTATTTTATCTCCAATAGTTTGTTCTAAATAAAATCAAAATATCAAGTTAATTCATTACAAAATCTTTAATCACCTGAATTGATGAAATTAAGAATGATCTATTAATCACATTAACTAATCAATTAATTTTCACACCAACATTATGAGTTAGCTATTAACATTTTATAGATGAGGAAACAGATCTGAAGAGGTGGAGTATGTTAAGAGGACACACAAATAAGAAGTTGGGGATAGACTCAGTATGCAAGGATGGCTGGCTGCAAGAGCCTCCAGGACGTATTGACTTATGTAAGCACAACCTTGATATAAACTTTAAAGCCTAAAACATGCTGTTCATTTTGATCTCCTTCTAGAAATATGTTTGATGCCAAAATCGGTTCCTATTGACGGAAAATTACCAAACTGTTCAATAGTTACTCCTATGTTTTTTATTTTTTTCATTTACATTTTATGTTCTTCATTCTTTTTTAAACATGGCTTTTAAATAATTAACAGAACAATAAGTCATGGTCATGCAGAGTGATCAATTAGCACACTTCATAAACACACTGGCAATTCAGACATAAGATAGCCAGCCTTGGAGAATTCTTTATTAGAGAATGAAAACCATTTAATGGATCAACATGTAAATCTTCAGTGTTGTATGATGAATAACATTTAGGCATCATGTTTTTGAGAGTCAACTTTAGGAAATGTGTTTTTGAGAACCAATTTTAGGAAATACATCAAAAGTAAACTTTGGAACTTACCCCAAGGCCTGAAGTTACCCTGCCAAAAGAAAAAGCTATTTAAGAAACATGCACCAAACAAAAAAAAAAATCTTTAATTAATTAATTAATTAAAGCATTAATTAATGGTCACTGACTTCTCTTACCATAGTTTCTGTATTTAAAAACTTTGATATAGAAAATAAATTATGTTCCACATTGTAAGTATGTTATGAGGATAGGTGGGATATTATAGACAACAGAGCATTTTAAGTCAAGGTAATCTTTAATGACTCAAGTCGACTCCTCACCATTTCATAAGTTTTTACCAAAATTTCATGGAAAATAAATTCTCTGGTCTATTTGTACTTTTTATTGCCATTTCAAGCATATATGGAGTCAAAACATATTTTTAGTATTGCTATTTTTTATATTCTTTACTTTTAGTGAATGTTAATTCAGAAGAATCTTTTACACTTCCAAAAGGTATACATATTCTTATGGCCTGTAAGTGAAATGCTTTCTGATAGTAGCTGGATATGTGTGCAAGTTTCACATAATTTAAAAATAAAAGAATCCCTTTCTCATTTCAATATTTGTGCTTTCAGAACGATTCCTTGATTTCACATAATAGCCTCTGTGGTAGGTTTTCTGAAAGAAAATGTATATGTGTTGTTAAAAAAAATAGTTTTATTTTTTAAGACTAATTCATCCAAAATAAAGTTTACCAAGTTATGTAATATTTCTCCTTGAGCTAACTCTTCACCCTCTCATACCCAGGGGTATAAAGGAAAGAAAGCAGAAAGGGGGAAGTCTAATTTTTTAAAAAAGATGTATTGCATTGTTGTGAACAAATGTTATCAGTGCTGCTCTCATACTCAGGGAGTGTGTGTGTGTATGCTTCCTGTAGGTCTTCCCCAAGGGAGTGCTGAGGCAAAAGGCAGAAAGCTGCTGAGGACAGAGTGCTCCAAAGATCCCACTCCACCTCAGCCCTGCCTTCTGCCACTGCTGACCTTTTAGGCACAGCGGTGAGCCCTGTGCCCTGCAAGGACCTTTCAGATTAGGTAGGTGAGGGTCTTTGGGAATAAATCTTGAGCAGATAGAATTTGCAGCCTGCAGATATAACCATCTACGTTCGTCATCTGAAGGCTGTCAATGCGTATCACCGAGGAAAAAGAAGAAAAAAAGGCTTACTTTGCAAAACTTCTATAAAGGAAAATGTGTGCAATGGAAAGTACTTGGAGTGATGTGCCCATTATGCATTCTGGAATCAGGCATTATGCAAAAGGATACATCTCCTGCATGCCTTGTCCTTTCACATGGGTCTCAGAGTAGCCCTGAGGATGAGAGCGTCCTTGGAATCTATTTATCTAATGAGTTGGCCATCCTAAATATTTACCATAACAATATGGCAAGCATTGCAGGGGTTAACTCACTTCCTATTAGCCTTTTCTCAGCACTTTCCTCTTTGTTGGGGTGAATTTATTTGTGTAATCTGAAGAATGTGTCGACTCTGCTCTGGACACATTGGCTCTGGACCACACCCAGAGGGAGCATGTAGAAAGGATCTATGTTAGGTGATACCCTGAGAGTGGAGATTTGTAGCTTAAATGAACATTATTTCTGCCAAATCATTTCAAATATGTTGTTTAGTTAAGTTCTCTTCCCTTTTACTTCTTTTCTGTGGATGCATGGTGTCATTTTATCTCCACCCAGGAACTTGTGTCAACAGCTCCCTCCTCGGACCATTCACTAGAGTTGCAATGTCACCATGTCAGAATCTTGCTTTTGTTTTTGTTTTGTTTTATTTTTAAATCTGGAATGTTTTTTACTACTGTCCATTTGCCTTTCACTTTGATGTCTGTGATTAGCTAAGCTCTCTACTAATTCAGACTGAGTACACACAATCAGCAGTCCCATGTGCCTGGATTGGCATATCAATTCCCTTCTGCTCCCCTTGGCTGGTTGGGCTCTCTTTGTTACTAATTTAGTACTCAGTTTCTTATGTTCTTTAAGAGCAGAACTATCAAACTTTATTTTCTCTAAAACTTGATTATATTAATAATACAGAAGACTCATATTAGTGTGTGTGTATCTTTAATTTTTTATTTTGTTGTCAGTTTGTTTGTTTTTTAAACGTTTAGAAGCAGAGTTGAGTATTTCCTATTAAAAACCTGTTGCGCCTATTGGTGTAAACTCTTTAAGTCTGACCCTGATTGTAAGATTATCTGATGACAAAGTATGGACATGCCTCCTACACTGAGCCTTTAGCAGAATGGTTTCAAGATTGTTTTCATTTATTGCCTGTTGAGAAAAGCCGCAGGAAAATGTCAAAGTAGTACTCAATGACATGTTATACTAGTTTTAAGCAAAGGGGTAATTTTTAGTTTTTTATTGTTGGTGCAATTGCCTGTGTATGTTTTTCTTTATGCTGTCTTTACATCATATAGCTTTATTTTCTCCTTCTGTATGTTTGTGGCCCTTTGATTGCCAAATCTTTTCTTGCTTTGTGATTTGGATGAAATCCATTGCTTATCTGTTAGGGTTCTCTCATCAGGTTTTCTTTAAGCCTTGGGATTTTTCCTCATTTCCTTTGTCCCAAAACATGAATCAGAATGGGAGTGTCTCTGCAGGAGGGGAGGGAGAGGAGACTGGGCTGAGTGGAAGAAAAATCTGCTTTCAGAAAAGATGCTGTTTCTTGAGGGGGTCAGACCTGAGGGAAAGTATTGAAAGTCTAGCAAACTCAAGAATCTTTTTCTCCCTTCCCCCAGCTCCAACCCCTAACACAGGGGAGATTCAATACTGACTGTCATGTTATCCACTGGAGAATTTTACTAATAAAATTGTATCCCTGCTCTATTCAGGGTAAGTTTACATGTTGTCACAATGATATACTTCATTCTGATTTTATTATTAAGCTGTCTCAGCAATTCATTTGAAATATAGTCATCACGTTTGAAAACTAACAAAGTTTTAATGGAAGGTAGTGAAATTTTTATACAAAATAGATTTCTTCCATGACGGATTGTTATTAGCTTGGAATACTCAGTGACAAATCAGGTAGTGTAATACTAAGACACATTTAACAGCCTTTATGGTTTTCATGAGTACAGCTTAAATTATTGTCTTTCGCATTACATTCTAAATATAGAAATAATATAGAAGATATGTATGGTTTATCAAGTGATGACCAGTGGCATATTGCATCTTGTTTAGAGTCAGTCCTCTTGTCTTATTGGGAATATATAGTTTAACAAGGCACTTGCCATCATTTCCTTAACAGGGATAATAAACAGAACAATTCTGCATAAAAGCTCATATCAGCTTCTTTCATGCCTTTTCTTTTCAGAAGGCTGCCTAAGGGTTTAAGCAATTTACTGGTCTGACCCGCATCCTTTCTCTGCAGTCTGCGGTTCTTTTGTTTAACATTAGTATGTGGGCAAACAGCATTCTGAGCTGTTCAGAGCTTATCAGCCTGCGTTCAGTCAACCGGAACCCCATTCTATGTATCTAAGCGGGGCCACATTTAATACTTCACAGTGGGAGCATCTGCAGTTTCTAAAAATGACTTGTTTATCAGATAAACTCTGTCCCTATGCTGACAGATGTGGTGGATGGTGGATCTTCAGTATCATACTTCTCTAATATAGGCTTGTACAAAATATAGTATGCTGAGGGACAGCGAGACCCACAGACCAGAGTAATGACAAGAATCATTTATGTAGACACTCTCCAACTGCACTCAGAATTTACTTATAGGATATGGTGGGGAAGAGGCAACTCTCAGATTCTCTTTTGGAACTGAATAAATAACTAATTCTCATGTTACTAAAGTGTTAAGTAGAGGAAAGACATTTTCACTGTTAACCTAACGTTTTATGATTTCATTGGTAAACACTGTAAGGTGTCTTAGTGCCATGGTCTGATAAAAGCCAGGAGCCTGAGGGGGTTGACTGAAATATTGATCATCATGTACCCAGTGGTACCAGAATGTTAGAAAATTAGAAGAAGTGGTCTTAGGAGACTTATCTGCCATTAACCCAAGATAATGCTAATATAGTCTGTTAACTCAAGATGATCTTTTCTTTAAATTTTTATTAGAATTTCATGAAGTTATTTTAAACATGTTGAGGAACTATAAAACCCTGCTTCTAATCACTATCCCAATTTGAGATTTTATACTCTAGGCATATAGTATTATGCAGTTATTTTGAAAGCATTGCCAGTCTTTATGAATGTATGTATATATGTATACTTATGCGTATGCATACATGTATACTTCCAAAAATAAACTAAGTATTTATTTAACTATAGCATTTCCTAATATTGTCTTTGTTCTCAATGGAATGAATTAAAGGATTTTTTAAATGTACATTTTTGAGATTTATTCCCAGAAGAACTCCAGTTATGATAGAATTATCTGTACCTTACCCTGACATCTTGGCATTTCTGAGGTAGCAGCCCAAAGTAATGTTAAGTAACACAAGTATGGACAAGCTAGTGCCTTACCAAGGGGACCATTGTCACAGAACAGGAGCTGATTTTAACTGATATGGTTTGAACCTTAATGCAATTCACATTGCTTGTAGTAGTCTTATAATTTAGCACATATGTTACATTTTTGCTCCTACCTATAATTACTCTTTGTATTAAAGGATTTTCACCCTAATTATTTCTCTACTAGTAGCCCCCTTCACCTCTCAGCTCCCTGCTAATTAAATACTTTTAAACATGCCTTCGTTATTAATTGTGAAGTGTTGCCATAACCATATGATATAATAATTATTTGGAAGACCAATTTTTAAATTAATAACTTAAACTTTGGTATTTTCAAACAGGAATTAAGGTAATATGTAGACCAAAACATATAATATCATGAGAGGCATCTTTGAAGCCTATGTGGTCAAATCATAGGCCAGTACAATGTTATTCTTAACAAAATTATAATTAGCATAATATACAAATCAATATAATTCTAGAATGCACAATGATATATATTTGCATTTCCATCGTAACTTCCTATAGGATTTAAAGGCTTTTTTAATGTGTAATTAAATACATCCATGTAGTGTCCTTATATGGGCAGGCTTATGAAAGAAGCAGCCATTAAGAAATATATTCAATATCAGACTAGAAGACATTTGTGTGCCTTCCCTACTCTCACTAATGTGTGCTAGCCAACTGTTCATGCAGAAATTGTAACTGTTAATGAGGGTTAAAAGGAAATTTTAAATTAGGTGTCATCTTTTGACTAAGGTACCTCAAGTGTTATATTCTGTCTAATATTTATTTTCTATCTTGCCTCTTGCTCTTAACACAATCCACCACTTAAAGAAATAATAATTATTATGATATTTTTCAAACAAAACACACTCCCGCCCATTCCTGGCCCAGCACATTTCCTGGGTCTAACATTTCTGATTGCTCACTGTTTTTCCTAACACTAGATCCCGTATGTCATATGCCTTGCATGGCTGCAGACTTTGGCCTTTTCACCTGCTGTTTTGGTTGGCTTTAGATGCAAAGAGAAGACCATGAAAAAGAGAAAGGGGGAGGGAGGGAAGTTTGGAAGACTGAAGCTAAAAAAAAATGGCAAATGTTTTTAGCGCCTTCATCTAGACATGTGTCCCCTCACTCTGTGACATGGCTGCTCCAATGTTGCCATGGTGAGGATTTCTAATCATCCCTACACATGACAGGCTCCTATTTGTCTGCACTCCCTTGGGTGTAAATTTCTAGGCTTAAAAAAAAATCCATGTGAGCGTATCATCCGCCGTGCAGATGTTTCACTGCTTTAGAATATCAGGCAGCTGCTTGTGCCACCGTAGACAGCTAATTGGAGACTGCATCGTAGGAACAGAGGCGCAATTATGGCATAAATACACATCCTCTGGTGCATCATTGTATCTCTATTAACAGAAAATTTTAAACAGTGCTCAGAGTGTAATTAGTGTAGTTGATAAAGTTGTAAAACATGTAAATAAGGGAAATAGCAGGTACGTGGCCAATCCACTATCCAGCACTAGGGGATGCAGATTATTGCCTATTTAGAAATAATTAGCAAAGCTGCATTAGCAAAGCCTGTGTCCAACAGAAGCAAGGCAAACATTTATTCTGGTAACAGCTCTTTCTGTGCTAGCCATGAAAATCTACTAATATTGGTAATTTAGCCCTCATTACCAGAGGATAAAGCATGAAAAGAGCTCAGACATGAAATATGACAAGTAATATTAATTTTTATTCCAGAGGAAAGGATGCTTCCTTGGGTTGCATGCTGATTTCTCGGCAGGGTCTCAGCAGTGCATGTGGAGGAGGCAGTGGGTAGCTGGTAGTTGAGAATTCAGGATATGGAGCTGACTCCCTGCTGGAGGTATACCCTGGGGTGGCTATGACAGTGGCTGATGAGGCATGCCACTGTTAGTGCCCAGCCAAACCTCAGGTCACAGTTCAAAACAAGCACTCAGCCATTAAACTTCAGTCCTCATGGACCTTGGAGGGTTTATGTCCTCATTCCTGCTCTTTTCCACCCTCCCAGCCCCTTTTCTCCTTACTCTCTGGCATTTTTTTTTTTCCCTTGGAATGATTTTGCAGAGCTATACAGGCGATCAGATTGATTTTTGTGCTTGCACCGCCCTTTACAACGTGCTTCTGATAATGAGCTGCTGTTGTTGAAGTGGAGAGTGTGGTAGGGGTGGTTTCAGCTGCGTCTTAGCTACGTCGTGTGCTCAGGATAAGAAATGATCCTCTGCCTCATATACATTGAAGATTGTGTCACTGAAGAATATCACCCTGTGGCCAGGAATCATGAATGGCAAAAATTTGGAGCTTGTTTCACAAATACTCTTCCTAATGAAGAAAAATGCAAAAGCACTGCGAGTTCCCCAAATCTCAATTCGTTTTCCAGACAGTGGGCTAAAAAGGCAGAATGTTTGGGGAAGAGCCACCTTTCTTGCATTAATCCCTGGCTGTTAGCTTGTTCTTTGTTTTATTCTTAAAGCAGAACAAATGGCAAAAATTAAGAACCAAGACCATGAAACTAACCATATTTTCTGGCATTTATATTATTTACCATTATCTCCTTATTTTTATTATGCACAGGTACTGCTTCTTTTTATGTGCTTCTAGGCACACACACATGGAGTCCCCTTCCTGAATCTTCTGATTTGAGCCACTAGGAAAAAGTTATTAGCCAATAGCAAACTAAATTTCCACTCAGACTGAGTTTCACAGTATGTTCAGAATGTCATAGAACATTGTGTCTTAAAAACAAAACAAACGAAAAACAGGTTGGATATTTTAGAACTTTAAAAAGTGAAAATGGTGCATTCACAAACCCATTGAAATAAAAAGAGGGATCACCTTCTTTTTCAAATATGAAGATTGAGAATCCAGGTTCTATCTTCAGAGGTTGTAGACACTCACCACCTATGATGAGTTGTCTCCTATCCAGGAAATATTGAAAATGACAGTGGTGGTGTTCGTTACTGCTACAGCTTAGACTAGTGCTACTAATGAGTTGTAAGTCACTTGCGAGTACTGATCAATATTTGTAGGGCATGGTCATGCACAAAATGCAAATGTGCACACTTACATAAATATATATGGCATCTCTCCATACCCACAAACACACACTATAATTATTGTACTGCAGATTCTGAATTGTGAGATTGTATCTCATTCCTTTTGCTCTCCCACTTCTGAACCAAAAGTACAACCCCAACCAGGCATGAAAACATTCTTTCTTCAATTTAGCATACCCCCTTATCCACAACGAGTTGAAATTAGAATGACAATTGGAACCAGATTACTTTGATTAAAGCTCTAGTTTTAAAAAGTTCCAGTGGCCTCAGTTTTCTCAACTGTTAAGTTAAAAATGTCTCCTTGTCTACCTCTTATGGTTATTAAGAGAACCAAATGATATAATACATATATAAATACCCTGCAGACTGTAAATATGACCAAAATTAGTATTTATATGATTTGCTTACTAGACTAAGTTATTATTATATCACTATCACCTCACAATCACACTTGGACATTTGCCTGTGTTTTAAAATGAAGCACAAATAAGCTCAGACAACGTCATAAAATTTTTCTCTGATTGTGTCTGTACAGTGCCAAAACTGCTGATTCACAAATGAAATTGCAGTCAACCAACCAGATGTTTCTTCTACAGGATGCCAAATTGCCACTTTAACTCTAATTTTTATCCAAGAAACTTACTATGTGTATGGAAATTGTACGAATGCTGCATTCATCATTTTCATTTTAAATCCATGTGAGGGATCTCACATAGTTTTCATATACCTTAAGCACACACATAGCTCCTTGCTTATCGGAGATACGTTTTTCATATTCTGCAAAGTGAACAGCACTCTGAGAGTTGCCTAGAGGAAAGTTATGCCCAAATTGCAGAGTTTTCCCAAGGGAATCGGCCAGAGGAGCCTGCTCCTGGACAGCCCTTGTTAAGAGAAATCCCATGTAGAGCAAAGCTCTGATTTGAGTTATCACAGTTGCTTTAACCCCTTGTAGGAAAAAAAAATAGTTGTAGAGAGCCCTATTTTCCTAATTTCCCCCGTTGGCTTCTGGTGTTTGACAAACAGTTCCTGTTTGGAGACATTATGCTGTTCCTCTCTACTCCAGCACGATGCCCACTGCCTTTACTAAATTGGCACTGAAACAGCAACCATTGCCAAGATCTATGCAAGGGCAGGAGGGACTGAAAGGGAACATGAAGCAAAATGATCCCTAATTCAAGTAAATTGTTGTTACCTTTCTTCACATACTCTTTCTCCCCTCCCTTATTGTTCTCATCTCAAAAGAGAGGAAATAGGTTCCAAATCAAACCACAAAGAGGATCTTCAGAATCAAGTTAAATTGGAGCACAAGGATTGAGGCTGATGGGAATATGGATTTGCAAGGTGCCAAAGCCTGATCTAATTTACATCCATTTGCTGATTTCCAGCCCTTTGGCATCTTTTGAAATGGCATTTCATTGTGGAGTTCTTGTAACCATATATTTCATATATGTTGTTTTGAGCTTTATTCAAACATATATTTTATTTTGCACAAAACTATATGTATGGATGGATAGTGAATTCTACGTGCCAAGTATTTAGACTAGTTTTATAATTTCTCCGCTTCTTCTCTGAGCAGCTTTCTCCAAAGGGGCCTGTAAGTCATAATCACAGGGGCTGTTTGTGAATATATTTCTCTGGGCCAGAAATTTTGCCAGCATTGACAGGCACCCCGGACAGCTTTTCAGAAATCTCCTGGTTATTACTTATCCATTAGAAAGGAAAAAATGATATTTTCCATCAGGAGTTGTTTCCTTCCCTCTCTCTCTCTCTTTCTTTTAAATTATAGAAATAAAGTGCCCATTGTAAATCGTTCATGCTGGCGGACAATATTGCATGCAGATCAGGCACACAGCCCATTGGATGGGAATGGTATGGGGGTGGGGGAAGCCTTTGTGGATGAGTAGACATGAGAGGGATACTGAAATGTTTTAGTCAGGTCAAAAATAGCTCATTAGTGGGTAGGAAAGCTAGCTGCTCATCCTTTAGGATGGAAACAGCCTAACTTATTTACTTCAGGAGTTTCTCATTGTTTTATTCTTAATAATAAAAACTTACATTTCTTCTTCATATATTTGCATTTACTGTAATGTAGCTTAATGGCTAAACAGATCTTAAAAATAACAACAGTTACAATCGTTGATGTCCCAAATGAGATTAAAAAAAAACTTTTCTCTGAACTTGAAAAGTAGAGTTTGGAATAGCTAGAATTCAGACACATTGATTAAAAAAAAAGTGAGTATTAATTCTCAGTGTTCTTAATATTAGGGAGAAGTTAAAGTTTCTTCTTTGAAATTTAACATTAGCTTTAGCTTTAACATTAGGGCTCCCTCTTTCCCAGCCCTTTCTCCCGTCACCCTCTCCCATAATGACCATGGCTGGGAAAACACAGGACAAAGAAGATTACATCCGGATGTCAAGTTTCTTCCCAATACATTAACCAAACAATGATAGGAGATCTATTAGCAGAAGAGCAGAAGATAATTCTGGAATCACAATAATTTTAGAGAACAAAACTCCTTCTGATAAATTTATTTTGAAAGAATAATCAGATGTCTCCTAGAATTGCAAACATCGTCCAATCCATCAGAGACAGGGAAAAACTTTTAAAAGTCCCCAATTCCCTATGTATAAATGGAGAAATATGCAAATCTGGAAGAAAGATGAATAACACATAAGCGTAATAGAAGACAGGTAAAATAACAGCATGTATCATGGAAAAGGCCATATGTTCATTTTATGTTTCTTTTGTCTTCATTTTTTCTGAGTTCATTAATTAGGCTTTTTTTTTTCCTCCTGAGTCAAAAGTCGGTCCAATAAAGAGCATTCCTCAAAGTTCTAGTTTGTTATCAAAGCCTCTCAAAGTGAAGTATTTTGATTGTTCTGGGTGCATCTGGTTGGTGAAAATGATAACTGAATTCTTCAACATCAAGCAAAGGGTTGTTTCTTGATGACTGCATGCTTCTGATCAAAATTTATTCTCATAGATTTATTGGGCATTGATTTGGTGCCAGGCACAATTCAAAGCCTACAAGTAACAAATTGATGAAATAAGCTGCTCAGAGAGCCAGAACACGTAGTAGCGTGGTCACTTCAGTCATATCAGGTATCCAACTGAACATAGTTTGGTGTCTGAAATTTCATGCCTCCTGGGTTGCCTTGAATGAACCTGGTCAAGGCCATGGGTAGCATACTTCATGTTCTCCACTCGCTGCTACTTTGAAAGATCCTGGAGTTGCTGCTCCCTTGGCAAAAATCATTGTACTCATTTTCCGCACCATTCATGAGATGATTCTTTTTTAGTTAACCAAATGCCTTCATGAGGCTAGAGAACATATGGAAAATTCCCGTTTGTGAGTTTTCTATGGAAAGGTAAATGATAGGCAGTTGTAAGCTACTGTTAAAAATTAAAATCCAGTTATTTCGTCAAGCCTTTTGATAATTCATTTTGGGAAGAATTAGTTTTTTGTATTTTAACCATTGTAAATCTTAGTTTTACTTCAACATAATTGGGGAGATGAGGAGAACTGAAGTATCAGACTTGAGAATTAATTTAAGGAAGCAAAATAGCAAAAGTTTTTTTAATTAATGCAGAATCCAGAATTTTAGTGCATGGCAAATAACCAGATTGGTGTAGTGTAGGACATAAGGAATAAGAAGTATGAATGACTAGGCAGCATAAATAATCATTTTGACAATAAAATAAATGAAGAAAAGAAAAGAAAAATAAGAAGTGGGTATGCTAGTCAAGATGCTTGATTTATGGAGGCTTATTAGGTTTCTTGCTTATATTTTTATTTTCTTCTTTATTCACAACACACACATTTTTTTCCTTTCTTCTATTTTACTCCTTGCTTTTACCTTATCATTTTCCTCTAGATATAAACAGGTGAAGGAGAAATAAATTTCTTCTTATGTGATTCACCTACTAACACATATGAGATAATAGAAAAACAAACAAGAGACCTGTGGTCTGTTAAAAGAATATGGAAGAAAATGCAATCTTAAATTATTAAATATCAAAATATGTGTGTGAGGGTAACAATAATGTCCTATTTTAAATTTAAACTTGTAGATCTGAGCCACCACTTTGCATAGATACATGATCATTTTAGGGATTCTGCAGTTTTCCAAAACATTCTGAAATAGCTTCTTTTGAAATTATCAGTAAAGTCTGTTTGTTTTACAAATCACATGAGAATATCAGCGTTTTTTTGTTCACATTAATTATACCAATTCCATATTATTAATTACTTTAATCATTTTACTTTAAGCTAAATAGTTTCTGTACTTCAACATCAAAGTGTGAACTTGAAATAGTAACTCCAGCAAGAAAAAAAAAAAAAAAACATAAAGCAGTGACAGTGTTTCTACTTAAATTTCAGGGCTTTATCCTTTTATTTGTTAAATTAATTCTAAAGTATTTTGTTTTTCTTTATTGTAGTATGAAACACAAAACACAGAAGGAAAAACATATGTATATGTGAAGCTTAAATAGTTTCTATTAAATTGAGGCCCTTAAGGCATAATTTTTTACTTAAGAGAATAAAAATTTAAACCAGAACATAATTAATACATTTCACCATTCCTGAATATGTGAACTGAAATTCTTGTCTGAGAAGAATACACCTATGCTTATATTATGAGTTATATGGGATTGAGTGGCCAGTGGTTTTATACCTTTGGCTAAAATCATCAGTGGGAATCTTATACATTAGAAACTGATGTTTTCATAGGTAAATTTTGGTGATTTTGTTTGGTGAAGAAGTATACTAACCACATAGGATGTAATTGAGGCTGAATAATTCCTGGCACAAAATAATAAATCTCTGATAACTGAAATGTGGCTCAGAGCTTTGCCTGTACAGTTATTATATACTGGTTTCTTCATTGGAGAACTATTCAAGGTACACATATCATGTGGACAGCATGGCTTCTAATTGGGCAAATGTCTGTTTGATAAAAGTGATCAACAAATGTGTTTATTCCTGAATCATTTATGGTTAGAATATGAGAGCCATACCAGTAACAGGGTGATCACGGATTGGTGAGGACAATAATGCTTGTTGAATTGGAATATATTTTACCTTATGCATCTATAACTAAATTTTAATGAAGAAGAGGTTTCATATTTCCTTCTATTTCTTTTACTGTTCACTTCCACTGCTGAACTCACTGAAATATTTGGATTTTGGATATTATTATTTGATTAGACATGTTGTAAAATATATCTGTAACAACTGTGGAATAGTTTTATCTTCAGTTGGAGCTCTCTTATGTGACAAAGTTTTGTTCCTTATCTGTCAGCATTAAAGCAATTGGGTTATGTGTTCTTTTCAGTGAGCCTCTTCATGGCCATTTTTACATCAGTCTCAAAATGTATTAGTAATCTGGTAAATACTTTTTCCACCCTGTCTTTATGTGTAATAGTTAAGTTTAGGCCCACTTTGCTATTTGGATCAAGGACCTTTATTACTTTACTCTGTCTCTGATCTGCTTCTTAGGACCCAGTGGAATATTTGCTTCTTAGGGATAGATGAGTATAGAAACAAACATGTTTGGCTGTGGGAAGTGGGATTTAGTTTCCATTTATTTGTTCTGAGTGTATCTCAGCAACACACTTTATGTGTATTTTCTCCCACCCTAATGGATAGATCTCCCATTGATTTCAAAAAGATCCTGAAAAGCGTATAAAGAGATAAAAATCTGATGCTAATCTTAGGAAGTAGGATTCACTTTATTCCAAAGGTTTTTCATCATCTAGTTTATTCTTATCCTTAAAAAAATTTCTGTCTCTAGCTACCAAATATAGAAGTACTCTATCACAAATTATCTTTCCGAAAGAGAGGGAGAAAGATTGTTTTCAAATCCCAGATTAATAATTTTTACATAACAATTTCTAAAAACAAGCTTGAAAACAGAATGCTTCCTTTAAATTAGCTGCTACTGTACAAATTAAATTAGTTCGATAAGTAATCTAATCATGCCTTGCTCTATCATGTAGCTAATTAATATATTATGACTTGAAGAATTCTGTTTATATTAAATGTATATATAATACACATTTCATGGCTGATCTTGCAAAGCAATTTTAACGAATGATAGCTGCTGTGTGGAAGCTGAAAGTTATATTTGGAAAGTAAACTTTAAAAAGATTAGTCATTTGAGCCAACTTTTATCAATACATGCCCTACCATTTAAAATCAGTAGTTTGCTTCCCTTTTAAAATTGTGCATTATGGGTTTAAACGACATTTCATTTTACTAGATGTTATTAACAGCATTAGTTTGTGGTTCCACTTTAATATTATCATCTGAAAATTAAGATGACAATAAAAATCAACCTTCATGATTATTCCCCAGGAATGAGTAAATGCAGTAGTTACAGTGTTCTTAACGAAAATGATACTGATGTTGCTATAAAAAAAGGCATTTAAAGTAGCTGTGTTTAGAGTATCTCACTAATTCTTGAATGTCTTAGTTAAAACGGTTCCCAGATTCCATAAACACCTGTTAGTTCCATCTTTTTAGAAAACAGTGTATAGAAAGAAGTCACCTAGATCCATTCCAATGTACATGATTTTTAAACCACTTATACTTTCAAACCACTTATATAACATATGCATATAAATATAAAGTGATAAAGCTAGTGTATACAATGATTTTAAAGAAAAATAAATCATTTTAGAAATAAAAGTTTTTAAATAATATTGAATACATGTTCTAAATGTCAACATATTCCACAGATAACATATTTTGCATTTCATATTGTTTAGGTGTTGTTAGGTAACACATCTACCAAAAGTCTCTGTCTTGGAAGGGCACATACTATGACCAAAAGCTTGGAATTTGTTTTACAAAAAATGTAAGTACTTTCAAAATATCAAGAGTTTGAAGGAAGTACTATTTATTATATTATTACTCCTGCATTTTTGTTTTGGTTTTGTTTCTTAGATAGAGTCTCGCTCTGTTGCCCAGGCTGGAGTGCAGTGGCATGAGCTAGGCTCATTCCAACCTCCGCCTCCCGGACTCAAGCAATTCTCCTGCCTCAGCCTTCCAAGTAGCTGGGCCTACAGGTGCATACCACCACACCTGGCTAATTTTTGTATTTTTAGTAGAGACTGGGTTTCACCATGTTGGCCAGGCTGATCTTGAATTCCTGACCTCAGGTGATCCAACCGCCTCAGTCTCTCAAAGTGCTGGGATTATAGATGTGAGCCACTGCACCCAGCCTCTCCTGCTTTTCTGAATAAACAAAGTATTGGAGATATTAAGCAACCTGGCCAAGTTCACCAAGATCATGAGAGATGCAGTAGTCTGAATGTCATACTATACTGTTTTGAGGCTTGTTGGGTGGGGGAGAATTTATGAAGACTCATTTATAATGCTGCACAGTAGGAGTGGAGAGAGAGTGGAGGTGAGCCTAACACTTTTGGATGTCTTTTTTTTTTGGAAGCAATCTATTTAAGAAAGAAAGAGACTGAGGACCTAAGCTAGAATAAAAGTGATAGAAATTTAAAATTATGTATGGATACTAGAAATATTGAAAAATCTAAATTAAGAAGACTAGCTAACTGACTACACAGGAGCTGAAAGGGGAAGTGTGCATAATGAGACAGAAGAGAATTTACTAAATAGGATACAGTTTATTCTACTTTTAAGGATCAACATAAAAGGAAGTTACTCAAACTTAGAGAAAATTTCTACAATGTTTTAATAGCTGTTTTATGAAAGAAAGTCTAATTTAACCTGCTATTCTTCTCATTTGTTAAAAAGAAGAACAAGAAAAATTATATTTTTTCTTTAGACTCGATTATTCTAGGAAATTTAGTTCTTCAAACTCTAAATTATTGTTTTCTTTTTATGTTTTCCATATATTTCCTCTTCTCATATATTGAAGAATAATTAGCTAGATTTAGTCATATTAAATGTTCAAGTGCCACAAGTGTCTCTGATGTAAATGATCTGACACTAATAAAAATAAGTTTTCCAAGTGATTCATTTTGTAAAACATTCCCAGATTGCTATATTGTAACTTTTTCTGCCCTCTCTGCCATAAAACATGGCATATAAAGACAGGTTCTCTTATCTCAGAGTAACTTATTTAATTCACAAAAAGATCACTAATTCATTAACTTATCAAAGAACTGCTAAAATACACTGAACTGCTCCTAGTCCCCACCCTGTTCTGCTAATCCTGGGTGCCCATCAACCAGTCAACTAGATAAAGAAAGCCCTGGATATAGAAAGTCTTTCATTAGGCCACCATATGGCTTTGCAGCCGCCATACGCTTTTGGCCCTTCTCTCTGCTCTTATAGGCTCCACAGGCTGTCAAGTGGTTGCTGGTCTGTACAGTTTCATATCTTGCTGGTCTATACAGTTTCATATCTGATTTTTTACTCTGAAATGAAGTCCTTGTCTCAAATGTGGCTGAACAATCTTCAGTTTCACCAGTAGGTGGGGAAACTCATTTCTTTTTGCTTATTGTCATTTCTTTTTTTTTCTTAGAAGAAAGTATAGCATTCTTTCCTATGGTCTTTCCCACAACACCACTTATGTGCTCTGGGTTTCTGTTTACTGCCTCCTAGGGTGTAACAATGAGGAAATCAGGAGGAAGATATTTTGGGAAATAAGAAGCTCAGTTTTAAACCTGTTGATTACGTTAAAGAATACAAATCAAGGAGATAAAAATCAATTTATTTAAAAATGTTCTTTACATGGGATAAGAGAAAACTGGTGGCCTTTGAGAAATATCTTGAATTGAAAAGTGAAGTAAACATAGAAGCCAAATTTTAGATAAGTATTCAGATGACAAAATGATCATATATACTCTACATTTCATTTCTTGTGGATGAGACAGCACATATAAAATAATATAGAATGAAGTCTACTCTGTTTTTAAAGATCAACAGAAAAGAAATCACTCCAACTTTCTGGATAACCAACTAAAATGTTTTAATAATTTTTCAATTAATGAAAGTCTTTTTAATCTACCATATTTGACTTAGCAGTTATACGTGTGACATAAACATGGAGAACACCAGTCATCATTTTCCACTTGCAAAGAAAAATGGGGTTTTCTTTTTTAGACTTCATTTTTTGAGAAAAGTTCATTCTTCAAAATAGATATTGTTCTTATAGTTTTCTTCCTATGTATTTTTCAAACACGTTCCCCTCTCTTATTATGGAAGAATCACTAACTAGCTTTGGCCAAGGAAGTTAAATGTTTAAGGATAAAGAGTTCTTAGTTCAAGAAATGGAGACTCATTTGTCAGAAGTAAGACACTAGAGGATGGGTATTGGGTAGCTCACAGCAGTATACAGGAGTCAAGATGACAGTGATCTGGCTAAAAATTAAAATGTACATTATTACCCTTGAGCCTCAATACATGTGTTAAAGGGATAGATGTGGACTGACATGCTTTGACATTTTTTGTAGAACTTTCGGCTTCCTTAGTGCCTTTATCGCAGCTTATACAATCAGAGAGTTCACAAAGCTAGGCATGCATTCTCATGTTAAGAAGCAAAGAAAAATTAAAAAATTGAAAATTAGAATTGGTTTGACCAGTTTTTACTCTTTTTGCTAATCAATTCTGTAAAAATATGGACATATATACTGACTAAACTTAAGACATTCAACATTATGTCAACCCAGATGCTATGATTAAGATGTAAAATCAGAAAATCTGAGTCTAGATCATTTGTTTCACTATTAAATAATTTTCACAACTATTAACAGTCTTCATCAATACATTATTGGGCCAAATTAACTATCACTGAAAAATTCCAATGAATTATTTTTAATACTTTATTTTACAAATTTTATTTAGCAAAATAAGTGTAGTAAGTAAAAGGTAGCTCAATTCCAAAATCATTGTGTAGGTAAAGCTGTAGAAGAAAGATGCCTATTTTATTGGGAATAGTTTATAATTACCATGAAAATACTCAGTTCAACCTGATAAACTACACAATCTAAGTCTATTTAAAAATATGTGGTGGTATTTAATTTATTATCATGAATTAGGTATCTCGCTAAAGTTCTACTTCAAAGAAAACCTAAGTATGTCAGTCCAAGTATACCCATTTAACAAATGTACTGATGCTCAAAGATATTAACACACATTTTATTCTCAAGTCTGGGACATTGTCATCTTGACCCCTGTATACTGCTGTTAAACACAGAGGATTTACTTCGAAGCTTTCATTTAAGGAATTGAGTTATTATCCTTTGCTTGACCTTTGTCTATGGCATATTTATCACAGTGCCCTGTAAAACCATAATGTGTGAGAAAAGTGAGAAAAGGAAGTAATATATTTGTGATTTACAAAGAAAGAAGGAATACATATAAATCAGACTTTTAAAATGCATTAATAGGTACCTCTTACATAATTCATTTATAGTCCAAAATCTCTCCCTAAAAATGGTTTTTGTATGTTTTTAAAACAAACATTAGCAAAAGTTACTTCAAATTAATCATGATCTATGATTTCCAGTATCTATTGCCAGATACTGTTTATATTTATTACTAGGAAGAAAAGAGGGAAGCAGCATTATTTTTTAAAGTACAGAAAGAAATAGTTTTCAAGCTGTTCCCGTAATGAGCTAGAAATAGTAACCCTGTCAAATTTAATATAAAAATAGTGTTATAAGCCTATGGCATCTATTTATTACTGGAGAACAAAAGCCTTCATCCATTTCCTTTAGAGAATGACATTTTTGTAATTCGCTGCCCATTTCATTTGTTCCAAAGGCCTTCGTGGGGTGACAAATATCCCACAGAAATGGCTACTGATACTTGATAGGATAATGTGCAGCCCCTCAGGACAAGGGCAGAGGCAGCAAACTTATCATCCTTTAGTTTAGCTTAGCATGGGTCACTAACAGCGCCAGAGGTGACAGAAGATGTTAAAGTGTGGGAAGCAAGAGCTGAAAGCTGTAGGAGGGGAGTTTTTATAGTTTATCTTTCTTTTGCCAAGAAGCTACGGAGACAGCTTGAATCACATTGTTGATTTGGTTCACTGCACGCCGCACTAACTGTTTCTGGAAAAGAAGAGCAAGGGGGAGAAAATCCAACACTTATGGGTCATTCTCACCAACAGCATGTGGCATTTCAACATGTCCTATAGGAGGAGGAAATGCATATTTAATATTTTAGTTTCAAGTTCATATTTTAAGAATGCATTATCCTGCTGGAAGGTCTGTGGTGAATAATCAGTAGGACGTCATTATATCAACCTGATAATCTTGCAGAGGAAAAAGCGATAGCAATGTCTTTCATTTGGGAATTTTCACAATATTGTTTTCTGTGTTAGTGTGGATAAAAAATGACTAGTATGACTCTTCTTAAAATTTTTAACTTACAAATGTTACAAAAATGTTGTACTTTAAATTTATCATTAGCATTTGTCCATTAAGGACAATTGACTTGCATGAAATCTGAATATACATATTTTATTCCCAAGAAAATTAAATCAGAATAGAACTCTCCCTTAGAATATCATGAAAGAATGATATGCACCAGCTGGTATATTACTTCTGATTCTATTAAAAGATCATGTGATCAAATTCTTCTAAACACTTCTCAGTTTTAAAAAAAGAAGAAAGTAAAAAGAAAAACATAAGTTCTTCATTAGGCAGGTATCTCTCATCATGGCTGTCATTGCACACAGTGACACTCACGGAAATATGATGGTTATGTTGTGATGTCTCTAATAGCACATCTAGTAAAATGATTCTGTTTTTGCAATATTAAGAAATCACTTTTTTATGTTACATGTGATTTGAATTAATTCATTTTAAAATTTCATTTATATGATGCAAAAATTCCTGAATAACTGATAGGAAAAAGAACTAAAAATTGTGACCTTGTTTCATGAGCAAGATGTCAACTCCACCTGAGTAACAGTTTTGATGAGTATCTGAAGCATGATGTCCTGCATTAGAACTGTCAGGGCTTCTTTGATACATTTATTTCTCTTCTTTAAGCAGAAGAAAAAGGTCCACTTCTGGATTTGTTTCTGCTAATAATAATAAAATGTGTGTTATCAACAGATAACAATATTAGAACTTAAATATATTAGGATAGTTTTAATGGAGTAGTAAAATTATTTGCAGTTTGATATGAATATAAGGCATGTTATAAAGTATAGAGCATTTTCTGGCAGACTCCTTTTATTCCAAGCATATATGGAAAATTACATAATGCTGAACTGCAGGAAGATGAAGACAAACTGATGCCTACTTTGATATAAGTATGTTAAATAGTTCACATACTTTATCTCTGAAGACGTGGTTGTATGCTCCTAATAACACTATTGCTGGCTAAAATTTATACAGTACTTTTTCCATTGAGTTAGAAATTGTTCCCTTTTCAGAGAGAGGTTCATGCTTATTTCCAATGCCAAAGAACTTGTTTTAGTTTTGAAGGTAAATTGAACAAGTGATTGCTTTCATATATCATGTAATTCCTTACATGTTGATGGCTGTAACTTTTCTACTTAACACATTTTATTCCTTACCATGCCTGTCACTGGTTTAAGCAATCTGCAGGTAATTGATTTCTTCTGTAAAACAGATAACATTTGCTTAAAGCTCTTCTGATAGCTTTACAGCCTCTGCATTAGGAGAAGCACTTCCGTCACCACTGGCATTCTTATAAAATATAATTATTGTATATCCATCAAAGACTAAAAGAAAAGGGGAATAGGAAAAGGCAGTGCAAATATTTCCTGACTTCAGCATTCACACCATTCATATTACTAGCAGTTCCCAGAACACCACTCTTTACCTTGTTTCACTGCCTTAGGCATACGACCTACACTCCTTTTGTATTTTATTGTTTATTTATACAAACAACAAACACACCTTAGTATTTTTCAAATGGTAACGTATGTTTCATTCATTAGGTTTATCTACCCCCTCCCCAAAATCTTTAATTTGAGGAGTGACTATTTCTCAACTATGGTTCACATTTTTACTCATGACTTCAGAAAAGTTAATATGTAGCAAGTCCTCTAAATAAACAGCTTTATAATGCACATTAATTGAAAACAAATAAATTCATATTGTCAGAATTTTTCCTTTTTAAAATTTTTTTGTTGTTTTGTCTTCCTTTCTCATGATCAAACCAGTTGACATTTTTTATCTATTTCAAAAACACTTGAATAAAAGAGGAGAGTGTTGTAACTCTTTGTAATGAGTTGTTCTGCAATTTAAGATAACCAATTTGACTTTTTTTTATTATTTAAGTTTTAGGGTACATGTGCACAACGTGCAGGTTTGTTACATATGTGTACATGTGCCATGCTGGTGTGCTGCACCCATTAACTCGTCATTTAACGTTAGGTATATCTCCTAATGCTATCCTTCCCCCCTCCCCACACCCCACAACAGGCCCCGGTGTGTGATGTTCCCCTTCCTGTGTCCATGCGTTCTCATTGTTCAGTTCCCACCTATGAGTGAGAACATGCAGTGTTTGGTTTTTTGTCCTTGCGATAGTTTGCTGAGAATGATGGTTTCCAGCTTCATCCATGTCCCTACAAAGGACATGAACTCATCATTTTTTATGGCTGCATACTATTCCACGGTGTATATGTGCCACATTTTCTAAATCCACTCTATCATTATTGGACATTTGGGTTGGTTCCAAGTCTTTGCTATTGTGAATTCTGCCGCAATAAATATACGTGTGCGTGTGTCTTTATAGCAGCATGATTTATAATCCTTTGGGTATATACCCAGTAATGGGATGGCTGGGTCAAATGGTATTTATAGTTCTAGATCTCTCAGGAATTGCCACACTGTCTTCCACAATGGTCAAACTAGTTTACAGTCCCACCAACAGTGTAAAAGTGTTCCTATTTCTCCACATCCTCTCCAGCACCTTTTGTTTCCTGACTTTTAGTGATCACCATTCTAACTGGTGTGAGATGGTATCTCATTGTGGTTTTGATTTGCATTTCTCTGATGGCCAGTGATGATGAGCATTTTTTCATGTGTCTTTTGGCTGCATAAATGTCTTCTTTTGAGAAGTGTCTGTTCATATCCTTCACACACTTGCAAATGGGGTTGTTTTTTTCTTGTAAATTTGTTTGAGTTCATTGTAGATTCTGGATATTAGCCCTTTGTCAGATGAGTAGATCGCAAAAATTTTCTCCCATTCTGTAGGTTGCCTGTTCACTCTGATGGTAGTTTCTTTTGCTGTGCAGAAGCTCTTTAGTTTAATTAGATCCCATTTGTCAATTTTGGCTTTTGTTGCCATTGCTTTTGGTGTTTTAGACATGAAGTCCTTGCCCATGCCTATGTCCTGAATGGTATTACCTAGGTTTTGTTCTAGGGTTTTTATGGTTTTAGGTCTAACATGTAAGTCTTTAATCCATCTTGAATTAATTTTTGTATAAGGTGTAAGGAAGGGATCCAGTTTCAGCTTTCTGCATATGGCTAGCCAGTTTTCCCAGCACCGTTTATTAAATAGGGATTCCTTTCCCCATTTCTTGTTTTTGTCAGGTTTGTCAAAGATCAGATAGTTGTAGATATGTGGCATTATTTCTGAGAGCTCTGTTCTGTTCCATTGGTCTATATCTCTGTTTTTGTACCAGTACCATGCTGTTTTGGTTACTGTAGCCTTGTAGTATAGTTTGAAGTCAGGTAGCGTGATGCCTCCAGCTTTGTTCCTTTGGCTTAGGATTGACTCGGCCATGCGGGCTCTTTTTTGGTTCCATATGAACTTTAAAGTAGTTATTTCCAATTCTGTGAAGAAAGTCATTGGTAGCTTGATGGGGATGGCATTGAATCTATAAATTATGTTGGGCAGTATGGCCATTTTCACGATATTGATTCTTCCTACACATGAGCATACAATGTTCGTCCATTTGTTTGTATCCTCTTTTATTTCATTGAGCAGTGGTTTGTAGTTCTCCTTGAAGAGGTCCTTCACATCCCTTGTAAGATGGATTCCTATGTATTTTATTCTCTTTGAAGCAATTGTGAATGGGAGGTCACTCATGATTTGGCTCTCTGTTTGTCTCTTATTGGTGTATAAGAATGCTTGTGATTTTTGCACATTGATTTTGTATCCTGAGACTTTGCTGAAGTTGCTTATCAGCTTAAGGAGATTTTGGGCTGAGACAGTGGGGTTTTCTAGATATACAATCATGTCATCTGCAAACAGGGTCAGTTTGACTTCGTCTTTTCCTAATTGAACACCCTTTATTTCTTTCTCCTGCCTGATTGCCCTGGCCAGAACTTCCAACACTGTGTTGAATAGGAGTGGTGAGAGAGGGCATCTGTGTCTTGTGCCAGTTTTCAAAGGGAATGCTTCCAGTTTTTGCCCATTCAGTATGATATTGGCTGTGGGTTTGTCATAGATAGCTCTTATTATTTTCAGATACATCCCATCAATACCTAATTTATAGAGAGTTTTTAGCATGAAGGTTGTTGAATTTTGTCAAAGGCCTTTTCTGCATCTATTGAGATAATCCTGCGGTTTTTGTCATTGGTTCTGTTTATATGCTGGATTATGTTTATTGATGTGCGTGTGTTCAACCAGCCTTGCATCCCAGGGATGAAGCCCACTTGATCATGGTGGATAAGCTTTTTGATGTGCTGCTGGATTCAGTTTGCCAGTATTTTATTGAGTATTTTTGCATCAACGTTCATCAGGGATATTGGTCTAAAATTCTCTTTTTTTGTTGTGTCTCTGCCAGGCTTTGGTATCAGGATGATGCTGGCCTCATAATATGAGTTAGGGAGGATTCCCTCTTTTTCTATTGATTGGAATAGTTTCAGAAGGAATGGTACCAGCTCCTCCTTGTACCTCTGGTAGAATTCAGCTGTGAATCCATCTGGTCCTGGACTTTTTTTGGTTGGTAAGCTATTAACTATTGCTTCAATTTCAGAGCCTGTTATTGGTCTACTCAGAGATTCAACTTCTTCCTGGTTTAGTCTTGGGAGGGTATATGTGTTGAGGAATTTATCCATTTCTTCTAGATTTTCTAGTTTATTTGCGTAGAGGTGTTTATAGTATTCTCTGATGGTAGTCTGTATTTCTGTGGGATAGGTGGTGATATCCCCTTTATCATTTTTTATTGTGTGTATTTGATTCTTCTTTCTTTTCTTCTTTATTAGTCTGGCTAGCGGTCTATCAATTTTGTTAATCTTTTCAAAAAACCAGCTCCTGGATTCACTGATTTTTTGAAGGGTTTTTTGTGTCTCTATTTCCTTCAGTTCTGCTCTGATCTTAGTTATTTCTTGCCTTCTGCTAGCTTTTGAATGTGTTTGCTCTTGCTTCTCTAGTTCTTTTAATCGTGATGTTAGGGTGTCAATTTTAGATCTTTCCTGCTCTAGTGCTATAAATTTCCCTCTACACACTGCTTTGAATGTGTCCCAGAGATTCTGGTATGTTGTGTCTTTGTTCTCGTTGGTTTCAAAGAACATCTTTATTTCTGCCTTCATTTTGTTATGTAGCCACTAGTCATTCAGAAGCAGGTTGTTCAGTTTCCATGTAGTTGAGCGGTTTTGAGTGAGTTTCTTAATTCTGAGTTCTTGTTTGATTGCACTGTGGTCTGAGACACAGTTTGTTACAATTTCTGTTCTTTTACATTTGCTGAGGAGTGCTTTACTTCCAAGTATGTGGTCAATTTTGGAATAGGTGTGGTGTGGTGCTGAAAAAAATGTATATTCTGTTGATTTGGGGTGCAGAGTTCTGTAGATGTCTATTAGGTCTGCTTGGTGCAGAGCTGAGTTCAATTCCTGGATATTGACTTGGTTTTTTAAATTATTCAGTGTGTGTATATGCATATATGAGAGAAAACTATAGAAAGGAAAGGAATTACGGAATGTGTCATGAAAAATTAATTTTTTTTTTAGGTATCTAATAGAGATGACCTGATTTTTTTCCTTTGTCTTTTGTTGCCCTAAAAATAATCTGTATACAGTAGAAGGCTGATTATTTCTCAAATACAAAATATCTGTTGACTGGAAAAGTGCACTACAAACTGAATATGTTGATAAAGGGGAGATAAACCAACATGGAAGCCAGAAATAAATCCACACACTTGCAGTCAACTCATTTTTGACAAAGGCATTAAGAACATACACTGGAGAAAGGACAGTCTCTTAAAACTTGCTGGGAAAACTGGATACCTATATAAAGAAGAAGGAAATTAGATTTTCATTTTCACCATATATAAAAATCAACTCAGAATGGATTAAAAACTTAAATATAAGACCTGAAACTATGAAACGATTAGGAGAAAACATGGGGGAAACTCTCCAGGACATTGGTTTGGACAAACATATTTTTGATAAGACCTCAAAAGCACACTCAACAAAAGCACAAGTAGACAAATGGGATTATGTCAAGCTAAAAATCTTCCACATAGCAAAGAAACAATAAAGTGAAGAGACATCCTACAGAATTTTACAAAAAAATATTTGCAAACCATCCATCTGACAGGGATTAGTTGCCAGAATATATAAGGAACTCAAGTAGCTCAATAACAAAAGAAATTTTTTGATTTAAAGATGGACAAAAGACCTGAATAGACATTTCTCAAAAGAAGACATACAAATGGCCAACAGGTATATGAAAAAATGCTCAACATCACTAATCATCAGAAAAATGCCAATCAAAACCACAATAAGATATTATTAACTAGTTGGGATAGCTATCATCAAAAAGACAAAAAATAGCAATTCTGGTGAGGATTAGGAGAAAAAACTAAGGCTTATACATTGTTGGTAGAAATGTAAAGTAGTGTAGCTATTATGGAAGACATGTCTGGAGGTTCCTTAAAAAACTAAAAATAGAGCTACCAAATAATCCACCAATCCTACTACTGAATATATATCCAAAAGAAAGAAAATCAGTATGTCAAAGAGATATCTGCATTCTCATGTTTTATTGAAGCACTATTCACAATAGCCGAAATATGGAATTGACCTAACTGTTCATGTGAATGGTTAAAGAAAGTGTGATATATATAGTGTGT
This sequence comes from Homo sapiens, assembly GCF_000001405.40. Lineage (NCBI taxonomy): Eukaryota > Metazoa > Chordata > Mammalia > Primates > Hominidae > Homo > Homo sapiens. Next base: position 98,064,216 of record NC_000006.12, read on the forward strand.
ATATATACATAAACACTTGTGTATATTGTGTGTGTTTGTGTGTGTGTGTATATTGTGTGTATGTGTATATATATATATATATGTGTATATATATATATATGTAATGAAATATTCAGCCAGAAAAAAGAATTGTATCCTGTCATTTGCTACAGCAAGGATGAAACTGGAGGACATTATGTTAAGTGAAATAAACCAGGCATAGAAAGACAAATATCTCATGTTCTTGCTCATATATGGGAGCTAAAAAAAAAAGAAAAAATTTGAACTCATAGCGATAAGGAGTAGAATGATGGTTACCAGAGGCTTAGAAGGGTAGTAGGGAGGCAGAGATAAAGAGCTGTTGGTTAATAGGTACAACATTATAGTTAGCTAGAAGGAATGACTTCTAGTATTTAATAGCATAGTATGAAAATTATAGATAATAACTTATTGTATATTTAAAAACAGCTAGAAGATAAAAGGCCTAATGTTCCTAATACAAAGAAAAGATAAATGTCTGAGGTGATGGATATCCTAATTACCCAGATTTGATCATTATACATTGTATACAGGTATCAAACTATCACTTGTAACTAAAAAATATGCACTAATATTACATATTAATTAAAAACCCAGAATGAGTAGTTCATTTAAATTAATAGAGACTTGTCTATTAGATTTGGCTGCTGTTTTAGTTTAGCATCTACTGTCAATATTTAGGAGTGGTATTATATAGAATTATAAATGACCAAACCAACAAATGTTTTCTGTTTTGCTATCATAACTAATTTTGACCTTTTTCACTTTCAAGTGGAAATACTGAATAATAAGTGCAAAATTAGCATTTTAATCTTTTACATTTTTCTATTTTATTAGAATTACTCTTTATACCTCATATATTAATCACTGTTCTGCCTGTAGTTTGTATGTTTTCCACACTAAATTTTATGGTTTTGGAAGAACAACTGTCTATATATCTAATTCTCAGATGTATTTTTTATTTATATTATTTTAATTCTGTTTCTTGATTTAAAACTAAGAGTAAGTTTGACTTATCTTTGGCCTTGGGACTCAGGGAAAGCTATAAATTTGGTGGTAAGCTCTCAAATTATTCTAGTCACCTGCTTCAGCTTCATTGTCTGTTTTGCTATGCACCCCTTCCCATAACTTCAGCTACGACCTCCCAGATGTCCTCCATTCTGCCATCCCACTTCCACTTCCAGCGTTCTGCTAGGCAATCCTATAATCTGTAATCATAGAGAACACCACTTTGTCACCTTGCTTCAAACTGATGTCTTTGGAAGACCTATATCTTCCAGGAAGTCTTTGTGTGTAGTGATCAGAGGAGAGCTGACACCTTCCGTGTCCTTACACTTCTACTCGTCTTCAGTGAAACTTTTTATAACTCCCACAATTGTATCATTCATCTTTAAATGAGTTCATGATCATATTTTAGTATATGCTCCTTTTTAGTTATTGTGCCACATAACAAAGACTGATTCCTTCAAGTAAGTGTCATCAGTTCTGATAGTAAACTGCCCGAGTAGTTATTTTTATCCAGTGCCCATGGTAGCATTTTATGTAAATTGATAACCAATAAATATATTTTAATCATGATGGCATTATACATTTTTTGAGTGTAACAGAGAGTCAGCAGTAGATGATATAATGCCATTCTTTCAAAAATTAGAAATGTTATTAAGAGATTCAAATTTAAGATAATCATTTGTTTCTTTTCCCTTGATTGATTTAGGGCTTTAAGAAATTTGCAAGTTTTATGATTTACTTTCTTAATAAAGTACATGTGTTGAGTGCACATAAAGTTACGTTCTCCGATTTTTTTTTTCCTTTGGACTAACTCTATGTGACATCAGATCATCAGATGATGAGGAGGAGGAAAAAAATTAATCTTCAAAATGTTTCATCTTAACAACCAAACTGTTTCATCTTAACAATTGCCATCCTCTAAATTTTTAGTAATGTTCTAAAATGGTTTAAACTCTCCCTGAGGATCTTGGCATATGTTTGGACTGCAAGTTCTCTGGAGAAATACAGTGCAGTTTTAAAATTGACTTTGTACAGAAGTTCGAGATACAGCCCTAGGTTAAACGATGTTTTTACAAAAATGATGAATAAAAGGTGGTTACTTCAGGTCCCCAGTTCTCCATCATACCATTATGATTAACTTGTGTTTACTATATCAATAATACCTGAAATTTGATTCACTTCTTGACTTGGTGGGATATCAGTCAGAGGTGAATAATGCTGCATTACTAATTTGAGTAATTAGTAATGTCAAATTTGAAAAGTCAAAGCATTTGAAAAGTCAAAGCAAAAAGAATTGAGAGCATTGCACTAATATGTAAAAAGTAATCCAATGTGATGGAAGGAAGGATTCCTATTAGTGATTTATTCTTGAGAAAATGCTTCTCTTTTTTTATTATACTTTAAGTTCTAGGGTACATGTGCACAATGTGCAGGTTTGTTACATATGTATACATGTGCCATGTTGGTGTGCAGCACCCATTAACTTGTCATTTACATTAGGTATATCTCCTAATGTTTTCCCTCCCCCCTCCCCCCACCCCATGGCAGCACTATTCACAATAGCAAAGACTTGGAACCAACCCAAATGTCCATCAATGATAGACTGGATTAAGAAAATGTGGCACATATACACCATGGAATACTGTGCAGCCATAAAAACGGATGAGTTCATGTCCTTTGTAGGGACGTGGATGAAGCTGGAAACCATCATTCTCAGCAAACTATCGCAAGAGCAAAAAACCAAACACCACATGTTCTCACTCAGAGGTGGGAATTGAACAATGAGAACACTTGGACACAGCAAGGGGAACATCACACACTGAGAAAGTGCTTCTAAGTTTAATATTAAATGCCTTTCTCGAGTTCCTAAGTGAGCTCTTCCAAGTGACTTATGAGTTGAAGTCATTTCACCTTTGGGTATTTGAGTGAAGTGCTTAATTTCCCTTCTAGCAAAAGATAATGTTGAGACTTGTGTTAATACAGTATTCCTATTTTAATTGACATATATTCTATATGATAGTAGTGCAAAGATCCTGATTTTTTTATTTGAAAAGGTAAAAAGCTTCATAAACATAAAAATTGTACATAAGAAAACCTAATGCTTACCTATTACTATCTTTTTCAAGTATAGGTCTTCAAGGTCCCCATTTAAATACTTGTACCTTTGTAAGATGTGTCCTGAGAATGTGAAATGATGACAGTTTCAGGCAGCATGTTTTAGCAGTAAAATGCTGATTGCTTTGATTCCTCCCAGGTGATCAGCACAAGACAGGAATCAAGAGCATTGTGTTAACAGACATGTAACTACAGCAATTTAGCTGATGTGCCTGAGAACTGTCCACTTCCTTTGCTGCAGATCTCAGCCACTTGGTCTGCGTTGTGACTTACCAAGTGGCCACAGGCGTTGCCAAGCTGAATGCTTCATGCTGTGACAGGGTAGAGAGGAGCTGCTTAACATGGGAGAATAGAGTGTACTGGGCACTGGGTGAGGCAGGTGCCAAAAAAGTCACATCTGTTTCAAAGCAGGAGGATCTTTGGGGTGTGTGTGTGTGTGTGTGTGTGTGTGTGTGTGTGTGTGTGTGTGTGTTTGATATGTTAGCTTAGTTCATTCTATTCCTTCCTTTCCATGTTGTCTCTATTTCTTTTCTTATAAAACTGGAGAAATATTTTTCTTTGTAATTCTGATTTTTCATCTGTGGTCCCAGTGCCTGAAACATAGTGAACCTTCAATAAATGTATGTAATATAAATGAATGCATGGATGTGTATAAGTCATAAGTGCTTAGACATTACTGCAGTTCTAGACAAACACTGACATTCGTGGCTATCAGATCCAGTGGGGATATTCCCAATAGCCATATAAAATCCTAACTTCATGTAAAGACCTTTTGGGAAATGCGGTAATATCAGAAAGAAGAAAACCTAAGTCTCTAATATTTTACTTATGTTATTGCAATGCTGAAACATTGAACAAAAAACATTTGACATTTTTAGAACAAGTCTGAGTCTCTCTAGTTGTAGATAAAATGCTACAGTCACTAGTTTCAATGGTTTCCCCTCAGGAAGAGGCAAAATGTAGAAGGAAACAACAATCACGAGGGAATGATAGACCCTGAATAGTTAAAAATATGTTTTCAAGAGTCACTCTTAGGAGGAATTCTAAATCATTTTATAAGGGAATTCTAACAAGGGCAGGGACCAGGGGATTTGTGTAGGACAATGAGATGACTTAAGCAGAATAGAGCCTTTCCATCCCCTGGAACACCAGGGCTCCTTGTTTTCTACCTAGGGTCTCCTTTCAGTTTCTGTCATTCAAAAGTCTGAGGCTACTACAGATTCCAAGAAAGTTTAGATCACTTTCAAGTGGCAGTCACAATTGTAGGAGTAAGGAGGTCTTCTTTCCTGCATGGGTAGCAGATAAGATCCCTTAACAATAGAAAAAGGTACAGGCTAGAACTGGAGAGTAGGTAATTTATATGTTGGCAAGTTTCCAGAATTTCTGTTTTCAGTTCTTTATTTTGGAAAAAAATAACAAAACACATCTATGTAAAAGACTTCAAATTTTCTACATTTTTCATAGCATTGTTTATATTGACAATTTAAAATTAAACTATAATAGTAGACAACAGTTCCAATAAACCTCACTCAATTAAGAATCCAAATATAATGTTGATTCCTGTAAGAAGAGAGGTTTTTGTTTTTGTTTGTTTGTTGTTTTTTGAGATGGAGTCTTGCTCTGTCACCTGGGTTGGAGTGCAGTGGCTCATTCTCGACTCACTGCAACCTCTGCCACCCAGGATATAGCAATTCAAGAAAAGAGTTTTTACTAATGACATCGCTAGAGACAAATGAGTGAACAGTAATGCTGTTATAATTGTGCTTTGGTTTATAAATTATTTGAGATTTTCATAGCACTAAATAATACTAAAGGCAGATTACTTAATTAGTTCAGTCAGATATTGATAAGCCACTAACACCCCAAACTATTACTTATTACTGTTTCTTATTTTTCCATCCAAATCAGAAAAGAATATTTTTTTCTATGGCTTACATCTCTGGAAGATACTTGAAATTTGCAGGCCTAAAATAAGACATTTTGAGGTAAATTTGCTTATATTCTATAAAGTTTGAGGTATTTCTTCTTGGAAAAAAAAGGTCTGTTTTATTTGCAGTCTCTTGGCAAAGCCTTAGGAGTCATAGAAAGATATAATCAAGGATACGCTGAAGATGCATGGAAAATGCTCAGGTAAAATGATGCAAAAATTCCCACAGCCCTAGAAGACCATCATATCAACATCATTGCTAAAAACATCTTTCTGGTGGTAGAGAAAGTAACATATTTCACCACTGAATAGATTTCATCTGTTCTGCCTCTCTTAGCCCATTAATGAGAAAGAGAAAGAGAGTGTGAGAGAAGAGGAATTGAAGCAGGTAGAACAGTCCTGAACTCCACCTGAAGCTTAGGATGAAGCCCAGGAACATCCAGCCTAGATCATTTGACCAACAGCCAACTTGCAGATTGGTAGGCATGGATAAAATAATTGTCAATTTAAGACCCTAAGAAGTTTAGGAGTGGTTTGTTACTCAGCACTACTATGGAAATAGCCAACTGATACATGTGCTAATGGTAATTTTTAGTGGGGTTCATCAAGTACAGTTTATCCACACAGACATATTGAAAGATATTGATTTCTAATTTTGGTATTGATACAATACAGTACAACACCAATACAATACAAAGGTATTGATTGCTGATTTCACTACTGTATTAAAGAGACATATCCTACTAATTACTAAGAATAATAAAACAACTCTGTAGCTTCATATGAAGAAGTAGCCATTACAACATAGCTCTAAAAATAGTACATAAAGAACTAAATAATGCTGGTTGTAACAATCTTACTTTTGTGGAAGCACTCTTTTTGTTCAACTTTTATTTTGTATTGAAGGAGCACATGTGCAAGTGTGTTACCTGGATAAATGTGTGATGCTAAGGTTTGGGGTATGAATCATCCCATCACCCAGGTACTGAAAATAGTACCCACCAGTTAGTTTTTCAACCCTTGCCACACTCCCTACCTACCCCACTAGTAGTTCATGTTGCTACAAAGGACATGTTTTTCATCTTTTTTATGGCTGCCTATTATTCCATGGTGTATATGTACCGTATTTTCTGTGTCCAATCCACCACTAATGGGAACCTAGTTTAATTCCATATCTTTGCTATTTGTGAATAGTGCTGCAATGAACATGTGAGTGCATGTGTCTTTTTGGTAGAATGATTTGGTATTTTGGATATATACACAGTAATGGGATTGCTGGGTTGTATGATAATTCTACATTAAGTTCTTTGAGACCTTACCAAACTGCTTTTCATAGTGGTTGAACTAATTTACATTCCCGCTAACAATGTATAAGCATTCCCTTTTCTCCACAGCCTAGTCAGCATGTGTTATTTTTTGAATATTTATTTTTTTATTTTGAGACAGAGTTTGACTCTTGTTGCCCAGGCTGGAGTGCAATGGCACGATCTTGGCTCACTGCAACCTCTGCCTCCCGGTCCAAGCGATTCTTCTGCCTCAGCCTCCCAAGTAGCTGGGATTACAGGCTCCTGCCACCACACTCAGCTAATTTTTTGTACTTCTATTAGAGATTGGGTTTCAACATGTTGACCAGGCTGGTCTCGAACTCCTTACCTCAAGTGATCTGCCTGCCTCGGTCTCCCAAAGTGCTGTAATTACAGGCGTGAGCCACTGTGCCAGGCCTTGTTTTATAAATTTTTAATGGTAGCTTTTCTAACTGGTGTGAGATGGTACCTCATTGTGGTTTTGATTTGTACTTCTCTAATGATTAGTGATGAGGAACATTTTTTCATATGTTTGTTGGCCACTTATATGTCTTCTTTTGAGAAATGTCTGTTCATGTTGTTAGCCCATTTTTAAATAGCATTATTTTGGTTTTTGTTTTTTCAGTTGTTTAAGTTCCTTACAGATTCTAGATACTAGACCTTTGTCAGATGCACAGTTTGTGAATATTTTCTCCCATTCTGTATGCTGGCTGTTGACTCTGTTGTTAGTTTCTTCTGCTGTGCAGAAGCCCTTTAGTAGAATTAGGTCCCACTTGCCAATTTTTTGTTTTTGTTATAATTGCTTTTTGAGGACTTAGTTATCAATTCTTTCCCCAAGGTTGATGCCAGAATGATGTTTCCCAGGTATTCTTCTAGAACTATTACAGCTTGAAGTCTTATATTTAAATGTTTAATCCTTCTTGAGTTAACGTTTGTTTATGGTGAAATGCAGAGGTCCAGTTTCATCCTTCTACCTATGGCTAGCCAGCTATCCTAGCACCATGTATTCAATAGGCAGTTCCTTCCTCATTGCTTATTTTTGTCAACTTGGTCAAAGATCAGATGGTTATAGGAGTGTGACTTTATTTTGGGGTTCTCTAATCTGATCTGTTGATTTATGTGCCTATTTTTCTACCAGTAACATGCTGTTTTGGTTATGGCTGAGTAATGTGATGCCTCCACCTTTGTTATTTTTGCTTAGAATTGCTTTGGCTATTCAGGATCTTTTTTGGTTACATATGAATTTTAGAATACTTTTTTCTAATTCTGTGAAAAATGACATAGGCAGGTTGATAGGAATAGCATTGAATCTCTAGATTGCTTTGGGCCATATGGCCATTTTAACGATATTGGTTCTTCCAATCCATGAGCATGGACTGTTTTCCCATTTGTTTGTATCATCTATGATTTCTTTCAGCAGTGTTTTATGAGTCTTCCTGTAGAGATCTCTCACCTCCTTAATTAGATGTATTTGTACGTATTTTATTTCTTTTGCAGCTATTGCAAATGATTTGTATTCTTGATTTGGCTATCAGCTTAAATGTTAGTGGTGAATAGAAATGCTACTGTTTTTTTAACTTTAAAGGAAAATTTTATTTCAGTTTAAGCTAAAAGGGGGAGCTCTTTGATTTTGTGAGAATTTCTAAAATGCTACTGACTTTTGTACATTAATTTTGTATCCTGAAACTTTACTGAAGTCATTTATTAAGTCTAGCAGGTGTCTGGTGGAGTCTTTAGTGTTTTCTAGATATAGAATCATTTCATCCATTTAAGAGAGATCATCTGGCTTTTCTTCCTATTTGGATGCCTTTTCTTTCTCTTGCCTGCTTGCTCTTGCTAGCACTTGTGGAGGCACTCTTCATGGCTTCATGTCTACTAAAACTCTATGGATTTTTAGGGTGAAAGTCTTTTTCTGAAATGTTCCCTGAACAGCCTAATCCACGTACTTAAAAAAATTCTTTAATAGTCTCGTATTCTCTAATGTAAATGTTGTGAAAGTTAACAAACCTCCAGCAAGCCTTTGTTACTTAAAAGTCCTTTTCTTTAGAAAACTGTTAAGAGAAGTGAAAATTTCAGAAGTTTATAACTCTATAACAATATTTATATGTTTTGAAATAGGGTATAGGTCTAGAAACTTATCCTAAGGTTGTGAGGAAAAAAAATCCTAATCCACATTGTAAATGCTCAAGGAAAGATGTTTTACACTTGCACTAGACTCAATTTTTTATTCTGTATTAAAGTGAGATGGCCAAATATTTAGGCATATGTATTGGTTAGAGTCCTTAAGTTTTATACTTTGGGGGTTTATATTCTTTCATCTGCCACATGGATCATCTGGAGTCTAAGTTGCTTTAAGGGAATATAACCTGCAACTTCTTAAATTCTTGTAAAAATTTACTTGAGAGTAATATTAGTCATGGATAATTGAATAACGGCCTGTAGTCCATTCATTCCTCTACATTAACTGTGTTCTTAGGTCAAACTAGAGCATAAGAAAGCTGTAAACAATGAAAACACTGTTTTAGTCCTTTATATAACTACTATTACTGGCTTGTGTTTGTGTTTATATTTAATTTAGTGCAAATAAGAGTCACTTTAGGTTCTTGAGCAGGGAGTAACACATGAGAGCAATATATTGTGAAGATGATTCTGCAATGTTTTCCCTAATTTCATGTAACTAATATCCCTGGAAAGTAAAAAATTTACACCAAGTAAATAATAGTTTTTAAAAATTTAGTATACATGTTTTACTTCCAGCAGAGATGGGGTCGTAAGGGTTAGAATTACCCTCCTGACTGAAACATTCAAATATTGGAAAAACATATTTGAAACAATGATTTAAAGACACTGGAAAACAGTAAATGAAGGATATGGATTCCTGAGATAGGAAACAAAGTGAGCCCAGTGTTTGTCCCAGCTTACTGCTGTGAGGAAGTTTCCAGGTGATAGCGCAAAGAAGGGAGACAGAGCCTGCTAGACTCCCCAAAATGAGGAAATGGAGTTGGGAATCTAGGGGACCAAGATAGTTAAGAGTTCACAGAACAGAGTTCAGGAATGGAGAAAGCTGCACCCGTAGATAACTCCAGAGTTCTGCAGATGGTTCTTCTCAAGTATTCAGTAGAGTACTGAATAGTGCATGCATGTGAGAAAAATACCCCAGTCCTAGGAAATAAGGATTAGAGAAAATGGTTCCTGGCACTAATACAGCACCTGTAATAGTGCCTGTACATCACAGCCAGGTTGAAAAAACTCAAAACTGGGCAGAGTATTCAGAAAGTTTTGCTTCATTAGTGGGAAATAATTCATCCTAGATCAACATTTTCTGGTTCTGAAATAGCAAATCTTAAATGTAAGAATAGAATGACTCAAACTCTTTCTAATAACTGCATCCAAAACCAAAGTTTAAGGATATTTTTGGAATACCAATATATCAACCACCCAACTAGGTAAAATTTACAATGTCTCAAGTCTGATCAAAGATTAACCAGTATGCAAAGAAGCAGGAAATCACAATCCATTATAAGCAGAAAAATCAACCACTCAAAACCAACTTACTCATGTTTTAATGATCAGGCAAGGATATCCATGTTGTTATAACTAGATTTCATATATTCAAAAAGCTAAGTAGAGATAGGAAACGTTCTATACAAAACTCCAAATCAAACTTCTAGAGATAAAAGCTATTATTTCTTACCTAAAAATACATTTGAAGGGGTGAATGAAAGATTAACATTGAAGAAGATTAGTAAACTTGAAGACATAAAAATGGTACTATTTGAAATAAAACAGTGAGATAATCATCATAATAAAGTGCATCAGTGAGCTATAGGACAAATTATGTGGCCTATTATATGTGTATTTGAAATCCTTGAAGTTGAGGGTGGGGGTAGAGATATGAAAAGTATAAACCTGTGGATTCAAGAATCTCAAAGAAATCTAAGCACAAGAAACATGAAGAAAACTACACCAAGGCATATTATAATTAAACTAGTTAAAAAAAAAAAAAGCAGTCATAAGGGAAACATCTTAAAAGGGGCCCAAGAAAAAGAACATACTATGCACAGGAAGACAAAGATAAATAATTAACTAGATTTTTTTTATTAGAAAAAAATGTGAGAAGACAGCAGATCAACATCTTTAAAGTACTAAAAGAAAAAATACTGGCAACTTAGAATTCTATGCCCAGTGAAAATAGTTTTCAAACACAAAGATGAAATAAAGACTTTTTCAGACATACAAAATCAGAAAAAAAAATCATCCACAGCAAAACCATACTATAAAAAATGTTCAAGAAAGTTTTTCAGGCAGATGGAAAATTATACAAAAAGGAAATACGGATCTACACAAAGGAATATAGAACATCAGAAATGGTAACTATGTGAGTAAATATAAAATACTTTTTCTTTTTAAAATTTCTTTAAAAATAACCAACTGTTAAACAGATATAATTTCATTATCATGTGGAGTTCATATATATGAACAAGCAAACTGTATTACAATGATAGGATAAAGACCAGAAGGGAAAAAATAGAATTACACTGTTGTCAGTTTCTTATGTTATATGTGAAGTATTACAATATCACTTGAAGATAGATTGTGATAAGTTAATGGAGTGAGACATTTATATGGGAAACAACATGGAAGAATCTGAAAGTAATTATGCCAAGTAAAAGAAGCCAGACAAAAAAGACTACATAATGCATGATTTCATATATGTAAAACTCTAGAAAATGCAAACTAATCTATAATGACAGCAGATAAGTGGTTGCCTGAAATGGGAGAGGGGGCTATTGCCAAAGAGATAGAAAGGACACACAAGAGAAAACTTTTAGGGATGATGAATATGATTATTTTCTTGATGTTGATGATGTTTTCACAGAATAATACTCTATCAAAACTTATCAAATGGTACACTTTAAGTGTGCATTGTTTATTGTATAAAAACATACTCAAAACTTTAAAATATATCAGTATAAAAAGGTCAATGTTTTGGAAATCTTACTTGTTTATTTAGTAAAGAACATTTGGTAAGCATAAGGTGACCTTAGTTAATGGTAGAACTGAAATAGTTAATGTTTGTCAGGAAAGCAGCTAAACTGAACCTTAAATACTTATCAGTATGTTTTTTTAATAAAAAAATCCAGGATTCAAAAGGATATGTAATAAAATTAAAGTGATATAGATAGAATTTATTTTGTGTAATAGAATTTTTTTTGCATCAGAATTTTAAATTAGTATTCAAGAACTGTTTTCTTCAACTTATGAGGTGGAAGAATTCTATCATTCATCATAAAAATGAATTTTTTTGCCTTCTAGTGATATTTTTGTCAACCTCACAAGTTCAATTTTTAAATATACATTTTATTATATGGTATTAAAACTCAATATAAAAAATGCATTTTAGCCATTAAATACCAGTGGTATAGTTCTTAGGCATGGTTGGTAGTTTATATAAACTGATTATAGACTTTCTTCATAGGAACTTGGCAAATGTATTTGATGTACTACTTGATTTAACATCTATGCTTCCAAATGTTTATTATAAAGAAATTACCAAGGTAAGCAGATTTAGTTATAAAGGTGCTCATTGTATCCTTGTTTATTGTGGTTAAAAAACAGATATAGTTTTGATGTTTAATAACCAGGTATTATTTAAATAAATAGCACATCCAATATCAAAGTATGCATCCACTATGAATGATGCTGAGGGATATTTAACAGCATAAAATATATTAATAAAAATTGAAAATTATAAAGTATAATTTACAAAATAACTTGTATAGGATGCTACAGTTTTATATTTTAAAAGTATGTGTATATAACAGTAAATATACAAAAACATATATATACGATCCCTTATTATTACAGAAATAATCCTGTATTTCAGTTACTTATTAATGTGAAGAAAACCACCTAAAAATGTTGTGGCTTAAAACAACAATTTTCCCCCACAATTTTGTTTGTTTGATGAGACCACATGAACTTTCCTGTGGAAGGGGGATAGATAAATAGCAGGGAACACCAATCAATGCCTGGTAGTTGGGAAAAGAAGAAGTATCCAGCTCAGGACACTGAGGATTAGTCAGTGAAGTAGGAGGTTAAACCAGCAATGTGTCTAGTTTTGTAAACCAAATGGAAAAGATGTTTCAAGAAAGAAGGAGACACTTTGGGAGGCTGAGGGAGGTGGATCACTTGAGGTCAGGAGTTCAAGACCAGCCGGGCCAATATGGTGAAACTCCTCTCTACAAAAAAAAAAAAAAAGCAAAAAACAAAAAACCAAAAACCAAAAACAAGCAAACAAACAAATTTTATGGGTGGGGTAGCACACGTGCTTGTAGTACCAGCCACTTAGGAGGCTGAGGCAGGAGAATCGCTTGAACCCACGAGGCAGAAGTTGCAGTGAGCTGAGATTGCACCACTGCACTCCAGCCTGGGCTACAGAGAAAGATATCGTCGCAAGAAAACAGAGAGAGAGAGAGAGAGAGAGAGAGAGAGAGAGAGAAAGGGAGGGAGGGAGGGAGGGAGAAAAGGAAGGGAAGGGAGGGGAGGGAAGGGGAGGGGAGGGGAGGGGAGGGCAGGGAAGGGAAGGGAAGGGAAAGGAAAGGAGGGAAGGCGGGAAGGAAGGAAGGAAGGAAGGAAGGGAAAATAGCTATCAAGGCTTATGAGAGAAAGAGAGGAATAATAAGGAAAATTAAACATTGACTTTTTAAAATATGGAGGTTTTTGGCAACCTTGTCAAAAGCTGTTTCATGGAGTAGGTTCAAGACAATAGCAAAGAAGTGAAGGCAAATTCTCCAGTTTTATTAAAGAACAGATTCACTTTACAGTGTTGACGCAAAGAATTAGCCAATTTTCTGAAGTCACCAAAATGCAGAAATTATTTATCTCAGATCTTCCAATTGTTATAAAGAAGATAGCACAGATTTAACTTAATTTGTTGACTTACTTATTGCCAGGGAGTAAACTCTTGTCCACTTAGTAAATCTGCACCCAAATTGGGGGAGAGATTTGTGTTTGGGGCAGTAAGTTGTCCTCATATAGACTTTTAATTAACACATATTTAGCACCCAGTCTCCCATTTAATTCCGTATTACCTGGCATTTCTCAGTTTCCAGTGTTCTGAGATTTTGAACAGGTGGCAGGCTACCTTTTGGCTCTGCCTTCTCTACATGTTCCCTAGGAAATATCTTCATTTGTTTTTCTGTCTGCTAAACATCTACGAGAAATCTATTACAATTTCTTAATTATTAAAGACTCTAACTCGGTCCTTTTATGACTGTATACCATTTTTTCCTTCTTTTATTTTAATGAGTCTCAGGGAAGAGGGGAGATAAATATATTTATTTAAGCTTCCACTTGTAAACAAAGATTTACGTGCATTTATTTTTGGGTGGGAGGCTGAGAAGAAGGGATAACTGTTATATTATGATCTTTACTCTCCTCCTGTGTAAAAATATAATAATTCTTACTTTTGTAAAACAGAAGTAATTTTTAGAATATTGAATTAGTTATTCTTTAAATAAAGTATGTTGCTTTCAAAAAATAGGCTTATTTAGTATAAATGTAAGCAAAACATGAAACCAGTTATAATACAGTTTTGTAATCATGTATAATGCAGTTTTTCCTATAAGATGCTCAAATCAGCTATGAGATATACAATATATCTTTAGATGAAAGTCATGGATATATTATGGTCCTCAAGAATTATTTTAGAAACAATTAAAACAGGAATGTTGAGGAATTTTAGAGATGTTCTAGAAGGATTACAAGCCTTTATTTCATGGGGAATTAAGAAGGGAATGCAAAGGAAATTGATGTTATATTAGATAGTTATCTACCTAAAGTATTTACATAATTCTTGGAAAAAAAAAAGAATAGAAGGGAAAGTACAAGGCCTCACCAATTATACTAACTGAGAAATTCAGAATGTATATTCACATGTTATAATGGATGCCATAGTTTCAGACCTTAAAATCATAAACACATATATATGTATATAATGATAAATATATAATGCAATATATATGATATACATGTATATACCTAACTTACATATCCAATCTTGATCTGAGAAATTATATTTCCATATACTTAAATAATCTTGATGTAAATTTGAAAAAATCTTTGTTTCACCTGTGAAATTTGTGTTAAAAAATTCAGCATTGAGGACTAATTTTTGTTGCATTTACAGTGATTGATACCATGGTTAAAAAAGAAAAAGGCTGTAACAATATGTATTTCCTTTTACTTTTATTTTAGGTTCAGGGGTACATATGTATGTTTGTTTTATAGCTCATCTCATGTCATGGGGGTTTGATTTTGTCACTCAGGTACTGAGCATAGTACCCAATAGTTATTTGTTCTGCTTGTATTCCTCCTCTCACCCTCCACCCTCAAGTAGACCCCAGTGTCTGTTGTTCCCTTCTTTTTTTTTTTCTTTTTTTTTGAGATGGAGTCTCACTCTGCTGCCCAGGTTGGACTGCAATGGCACAATCTCGGCCACTGCAACCTCTGCCTCCTGTGTTCAAGCAATTCTCCTACCTCAGCCTCATGAGAAGCTGGGATTATAGGCATCCACCACCATGCCTGGCTAATTTTTGTATTTTTTTTTTTTTAGTAGAGACGGGGTTTTACCATGTTGTCCAGGCTGGTCTTGATCTCCTGACCTCATGATCCACCTGCCTCGGCCTCCCAAAGTGCTGAGATTACAGGCATGAGCCACCGTGCCCGGCCTGTTGTTTCCTTCTTTGTGTCTATGAGTTCTCATAATTTAGCTCCCACTTATAAGTGAGAACATGCAGTATTCGGTTTTTTGTTCCTGCATTAGTTTGCTAAGGATTATGACCTCCAGCTCCATCCATGTTCCTACAAACGATCTGACCTTGTTCTTTTATATGGCTGCATAGTATTCCATGGTGTATATGTACCACATTTTCTTTATCCAGTCATTCATTCATGGACATTTAGGTTGATTCCATGTCTTTGCTATTGTGAATAGTGCTGCAATGAGCATTTATGTGCATGTGTCTTTAGGGTAGAATGATTTATATTCCTCTGGGTATATGCCCAGTAATGGGATTGCTGGGTAGAATAGGTAGTTCTGTTTTTAGCTTTTTGAGGAATCACCACACTGCTTTCCACAATGGTTAAACTAATTTACACTCTCTTCAACAGTGTGTAAGTGTTCCCTTTTCTCTGCAACCTCACCAGTATTCTGTTATTTTCTTACTTTTTAATAATAGCCATTCTGACTGGTGTAAGATGGTATCTCATTGTGGTTTTGATTTTCATTTCTCTAATGATCAGAGATAACAAACTTTTTTTCATATGCTTGTTGGCTGCATGTGTGTCTTCTTGTGAAAAGTGTTTATGTCATTTGCCCACTTTTTAATGGAGTTGTTTTTATCCACTTATAAATTTAAGTTTCTTAATTAAATACTGGATATTAGATCTTTGTCAGATGCATAGTTTGCAAATATTTTCTCCCATTCTGTAGGTTGTTTACTCCATTGATAGTTTCTTTTGTTCTGCAGAAGCTCTTTAAATAGATTCCTTTTGTCAATTTTTGCTTTTGTTGTGATTGCTTTTGGCATCTTTGTCATGAAATCTTTGCCCATTCCTATGTCCAGAATGGCATTGCCTAGGTTGTCTTTTGGGGTTTTTATAGTTTTCAGTTATACATTTAAGTCTTTAATCCATCTCGAGTAGATCTTTGTATATGGTATAAGGAAAGGGTCCAGCTTAAATCTTCTGCATATGTCTAGCCAGTTATCCCAGCACCATTTATTGAACAGGGAGTCCTGTCCCCATTGCTTGTTTTTGTCAGCTTTGTTGTAGATCAGATGGTCCTATTTATGCAGCCTTATTTCTGAGCTTTCTATTCTGTTCCATTGGTATGTGTCTGTTTTTGTACCAGTACCACGCTGTGTTGGTTAGTGTGGTCCTGTGGTTTGAAATCATGTAGCATGATACCTTCAGTTTTGTTCTTTTTGCTTAGGATTGCCTTGGTTATTTGGGCTGTTTTGGTTCCATATACATTTATTTTTTTTAGTTCAGTGAAGAATGTCATTAGTAGTTTGATAGGAATAGCATTAAATCTATAAATTGCTTTGGGTAATATGGCCATTTTAATGATACTGATTATTCCTATCCATGAGCATGGAATGTTTTGCCATTTGTTTGCGTCATCTCTGATTTCTTTGAGCAGTGTTTTTAAATAATCATTGTAGAGATCTTTCACCTCCCTGGTTATCTGCATTCCCAGGTATTTTATTTTCTTTGTGGTAATTGTGAATGGGATCACGTTCCTGGTTTGGCTCTTGGCTTGACAGTTGTTGGTGTATAGGAATGCTAGTGATATTTGTATATTGATTTTGTATCCTGATATTTCACTGAAGTTGTTTATCGGCTAAAGGAGCTTTTGGGCCAAGATGATGGCATTTTCTAGATATAGAATCATATGGTCTGCACACAGGGATAGTTTGACTTCCTCTCTTCCTATGTAGATGTCATTTATTTCTTTTTCCTGATTCCTCTGGCCAGGACTTCCAATACTGTGTTGAATATAAGTGGTGAGAGTAGACATCCTTGGCTTGTTTCAGTTTTCAAGGGGAAAGTTTCTAGCTTTTGCCCATTCATTATGATGCTGGCTGTGAGTTTGTCATAGAGGACTCTTACTATTATGAGTTGTGTTCATTCAATACCTCGTTTATTGAGAATTTTTAACATAAAGGGATGTTGAATTTTATTGAAAGCCTCTTTGCAGCTACTGAGATAATCATGTGGTTTTTGTCTTTAGTTCTGTTAAATGTGATGAATCACATTTATTGATTTGTGTATGAGGAACCAAGCTTGCACCTGGGGATGAAGCCTACTTGATCATGGTGGCTAACTCTTTTTGATGTGCTGCTGGATCTGGTTTCCAAGTAGTTTCTGAGGATTTTCTTATCATTGTTCATCATATTGATCTGAGGTTCCTTTTTGTGTGTGTGTGTCTCTGCCAGGTTTTGGTATCAGGATGATACTAGTATCCTAGAATTAGTTAGGGAGGAATCCCTCCTCCTCAATTTTTTGAAATAGTTTCAGTAGGAATAGCACCAGCTCTTCATTTTACCTCTGATAGAATTCAACTGTAAATCTGTTTGGTGCTGGGCTTTTTGTTGTTGGTGGTGCTGGTGGGCTATTTAATACTGATTCAATTTGGCAGCTCATTATTTGTCCATTTAGGGAATTAATTTCTTCCTGATTTAGTCTTGGAAGCTTATATGTGTCTAAGGATTTATTAATCTCGTCTTGGTTTTCTAGTTTGTGTGTATAAAGGTGTTCATTGTAGTATCTGATGCTTACTTTTGTATCTCTGAGGTCCGTGGTAACAGCCCCTTTGTCATTTCTAATTGTGTTTATATGGATATTTTTTCTTTATTACTGTAACTAGTGACTATGTATCTTATTAATACTTTCAAACAACCAACCCCTGGATTTGTTGTTCTTTGGATTGGTTTTGTTTCTTGATTTCCTTCAGTTCAGCTCCGATTTTGGTTATTTTTTGTCTTCTGCTGACTTTGGGGTTGGTTTGCTTTTGCTTCTCTAATTCTTTTCATTATGATGTTATGTAATTAATTTGGGATCTTTATAACTTTTTGATGTGAGCATTTAGTGCTGTTAATTTCCCTCAACACTGCCTTAACTATGTCCCGGAGGTGCTGGTGTGTTTTAACTTTGTCCTCATTAGTTTCAAAGTACTTGATTTCTGCCTTAATTTCATTATTTACCCAAAAGTCATTCAGGAGCATGTTGCTTAATTTCCATGTAATTACCTGGTTTTGAATGATGTTTTTCAGTCTTAATTACTATTTACTGCACTGTGGTCATACAGTGTGTTTGGTATGATTTCAGTTCTTTTATATTTGCTGAGGATTGTTTTCTGTTTGGTAATGTGGCTGATTTTAGAGTATGTGTCATATGTCAATGACAAGAATGTATATTCTGATGGTTTTCGGTAGAGAGTTCTGTAGAGGTCTGTCAGATCCATTTGGTCCCATGTTGAGCTCAGGTCCTAAATACCTTTATTAATTTTCTGACTCAATGATCGGTTTAGTACTGTCAGTTGAGTGTTGAAGTCTCCTACTATTAACGTGTGGGAGTCTAAGTCTATCTAGGTCTCTAAGAAGTTGCAGGGTGCTCCTGTGCTGGATGTAGGTTTGTTAGGTCTTCCTGTTGAATGAAACTTCTACCATAATGCAATGCCCTTGTCTTTTTTTCTTTTTTAACTTTTCTTGGTTTAAAGTTTATTTTGTCTGAAATTAGTACTGCAACCCCTGCTTTTTTCTGATTTCCATTTGCATGTTAGATTTTCCTCCATCCCAAGATTTTGAGTCTATGGATGTCATGATATGTGAAATGGGTCTCTTGGAGACAGCTTACCATTGGGTCTTGCTTTTTTTTTTTATTTTTTTAATTTTTATTATTATACTTTAAGTTTTAGGGTACATGTGCACAATGTGCAGGTTAGTTACATATGTATACATGTGCCATGCTGGCATGCTGCACCCATTAACTCATCATTTAGCATTAGGTATATCTCCTAATGCTATACCTCCCCACTCCCCCCACCCCACAACAGTCCCCAGAGTGTGATGTTCCCCTTCCTGTGTCCATGTGTTCTCATTGTTCAATTCCCACCTATGAGTGAGAACATGTGGTGTTTGGTTTTTTGTCCTTGCGATAGTTTACTGAGAATGATGATTTCCAATTTCATCCATGTCCCTACAAAGGACATGAACTCATCATTTTTTATGGCTGCATAGTATTCCATGGTGTATATGTGCCACATTTTCTTAATCCAGTCTATCATTGATGGACATTTGGGTTGGTTCCAAGTCTTTGCTATTGTGAATAGTGCCGCAATAAACATGCATGTGCATGTGTCTTTATAGCAGCATGATTTATAGTCCTTTGGGTATATACCCAGTAATGGGATGGCTGGGTCAAATGGTATTTCTACTTCTAGATCCCTGAGGAATCGCCACACTGACTTCCACAATGGTTGAACTAGTTTACAGTCCCACCAACAGTGTAAAAGTGTTCCTATTTCTCCACATCCTCTCCAGCACCTGTTGTTTCCTGACTTTTTAATGATTGCCATTCTAACTGGTGTGAGATGGTATCTCATTGTGGATTTGATTTGCATTTCTCTGACGGCCAGTGATGGTGAGCATTTTTTCATGTGTTTTTTGGCTGCATAAATGCCTTCTTTTGAGAAGTGTCTGTTCATGTCCTTCACCCACTTTTTGATGGGGTTGTTTGTTTTTTTCTTGTAAATGTGTTTGAGTTCATTGTAGATTCTGGATATTAGCCCTTTGTCAGAGGAGTAGGTTGCGAAAATTTTCTCCCATTTTGTAGGTTGCCTGTTCACTCTGATGGTAGTTTCTTTTGCTGTGCAGAAGCTCTTTAGTTTAGTTAGATCCCATTTGTCAATTTTGGCTTTTGTTGCCATTGCTTTTGGTGTTTTAGACATGAAGTCCTTGCCCATGCCTATGTCCTGAATGGTAATGCCTAGGTTTTGTTCTAGGGTTTTTATGGTTTTAGGTCTAACATTTAAGTCTTTAAGCCATCTTGAATTAACTTTTGTATAAGGTGTAAGGAAGGGATCCAGTTTCAGCTTTCTACATATGGCTAGCCAGTTTTCCCAGCACCATTTATTAAATAGGGAATCCTTTCCCCATTGCTTGTTTTTCTCAGGTTTGTCAAAGATCAGATAGTTGTAGATACATGGCGTTATTTCTGAGGGCTCTGTTCTGTTCCATTGATCTATATCTCTGTTTTGGTACCGGTACCGTGCTGTTTTGGTTACTGTAGCCTTGTAGTATAGTTTGAAGTCAGGTAGCATGATGCCTCCAGCTTTGTCCTTTTGGTTTCGGATTGACTTGGCAATGCAGGCTCTTTTTTGGTTCCATATGAACTTTAAAGTAGTTTTTTCCAATTCTGTGAGGAAAGTCATTGGTAGCTTGGTGGGGATGGCATTGAATCTATTAATTACCTTGGGCAGTATGGCCATTTTCACGATATTGATTCTTCCTACACATGAGCATGGAATGTTCTTCCATTTGTTTGTATCCTCTTTTATTTCATTGAGCAGTGGTTTGTAGTTCTCCTTGAAGAGGTCCTTCACATCCCTTGTAAGTTGGATTCCTAGGTATTTTATTCTCTTTGAAGCAATTGTGAATGGGAGGTCACTCATGATTTGGCTCTCAGTTTGTCTCTTATTGGTGTATAAGAATGCTTGTGATTTTTGCACATTGATTTTGTATCCTGAGACTTTGCTGAAGTTGCCTATCAGCTTAAGGAGATTTTGGGCTGAGACAGTGGGGTTTTCTAGGTATACAATCATGTCATCTGCAAACAGGGACAATTTGCCTTCCTCTTTGCCTAATTGAATACCCTTTATTTCCTTCTCCTGCCTAATTGCCCTGGCCAGAACTTCCAACACTATGTTGAATAGGAGTGGTGAGAGAGGGCATTTGTGTCTTGTGCCAGTTTTCAAAGGGAATGCTTCCAGTTTTTGCCCATTCAGTATGATATTGGCTGTGGGTTTGTCATAGATAGCTCTTATTATTTTGAGATACGTCCCATCAATAACTAATTTATAGAGAGTTTTTAGCACGAAGGGTTGTTAAATTTTGTCAAAGGCCTTTTCTGCATCTATTGAGATAATCATGTGGTTTCGTCTTTGGTTCTGTTTATATGCTGGATTACATTTATTGATTTGCATATATTGAATCAGCCTTGCATCCCAGGGATGAAGCCCACTTGATCATGGTGGATAAGCTTTTTGATGTGCTGCTGGATTCGGTTTGCCAGTATTTTATTGAGGATTTTTGCATCAATGTTCATCAAGGATATTGGTCTAAAATTCTGTTTTTTGGTTGTGTCTCTGTCTGGCTTTGGTATCAGGATGATGCTGGCCTCATAAAATGAGTTAGGGAGGATTCCCTCTTTTTCTATTGATTGGAATAATTTCAGAAGGAATGGTACTATTTCCTCCTTGTACCTCTGGTAGAATTCGGCTGTGAATCCATCTGGTCCTGGACTCTTTTTGGTTGGTAAGCTATTGATTATTGCCACAATTTCAGATCCTGTTATTGGTCTATTCAGAGATTCAACTTCTTCCTGGTTTAGTCTTGGGAGGGTGTATGTGTCGAGAAATTTTTCCATTTCTTCTAGATTTTCTAGTTTATTTGCGTAGAGGTGTTTGTAGTATTCTCTGGTGGTAGTTTGTATTTCTGTGGGATTGATGGTGATATCCCCTTTATCATTTTTTATTGCATCTATTTGATTCTTCTCTCTTTTCTTCTTTATTAGTCTTGCTAGCGGTCTATCAAGTTTGTTGATCCTTTCAAAAAACCAGCTCCTGGATTCATTAATTTTTTGAAGGGTTTTTTGTGTCTCTATTTCCTTCAGTTCTGCTCTGATTTTAGTTATTTCTTGCCTTCTGCTAGCTTTTGAATGTGTTTGCTCTTGCTTTTCTAGTTCTTTTAATTGTGATGTTAGGGTGTCAATTTTGGTTCTTTCCTGCTGTGTTGTGGGCATTTAGTGCTATAAATTTCCCTCTACACACTGCTTTGAACGTGTCCCAGAGATTCTGGTATGTTGTGTCTTTGTTCTCGTTGGTTTCAAAGAACCTCTTTATTTCTGCCTTCATTTCATTGTGTACCCAGTAGTCATTCAGAAGCAGATTGTTCAGTTTCCACATAGTTGAGCGGTTTTGAGTGAGTTTCTTAATCCCGAGTTCTAGTTTGATTGCACTGTGGTCTGAGAGACAGTTTGTTATAATTTCTGTTCTTTTACATTTGCTGAGGAGAGCTTTACTTCCAACTATGTGGTCAATTTTGCAATAGGTATGGTGTGGTGCTGAAAAAAATGTATCTTCTGTTGATTTGGGGTGGAGAGTTCTGTAGATGTCTATTAGGTCTGCTTGTTGCAGAGCTGAGTTCAATTCCTGGGTATCCTTGTTAACTTTCTGTCTCGTTGATCTGTCTAATTTTGACAGTGGGGTGTTAAAGTCTCCCATTATTATTGTGTGGGAGTCTAAGTCTCTTTGTAGGTCACTCAGGACTTGCTTTATGAATCTGGGTGCTCCTGTATTGGGCGCAATGTATTTAGGATACTTAGCTCTTCTTGTTGAATTGATCCCTTTACCATTATGTAATGGCCTTCTTTGTCTCTTTTGATCTTTGTTGGTTTAAAGTCTGTTTTATCAGAGACTAGGATTGCAACCCCTGCCTTTTTTTGTTTTCCATTTGCTTGGTAGATCTTCCTCCATCCTTTTATTCTGAGCCTATGTGTGTCTCTGCATGTGAGATGGGTTTCCTGAATACAGCACACTGATGGGTCTTGACTCTTTATACAATTTGCCAGTCTGTGTCTTTTAATTCGAGCATTTAGTCCATTTACATTTAAGGTTAATATTGTTATGTGTGAATTTGATCCTGTCATTATGATGTTAGCTGGTGATTTTGCTCGTTAGTTGATGCAGTTTCTTCCTAGTCTCGATGGTCTTTACAATTTGGCATGATTTTGCAGTGGCTGGTACCGGTTGTTCCTTTCTGTGTTTAGTGCTTCCTTCAGGAGCTCTTGTAGGGCAGGCCTGGTGGTGACAAAATCTCTCAGCATTTGTTTGTCTCTAAAGTATTTTATTTATCCTTCACTTATGAAGCTTAGTTTGGCTGGGTATGCAATTCTGGGTTGAAAATTCTTTTCTTTAAGAATGTTGAATATTGGCTCCCACTCTCTTCTGGCTTGTAGAGTTTCTGCTGAGAGATCTGCTGTTAGTCTGATGGGCTTCCCTTTGTGGGTAACCCAACCTTTCTCTCTGGCTTCCCTTAACATTTTTTCCTTCATTTCAACTTTGGTGAATCTGACAATTATGTGTCTTGGAGTTGCTCTTCTCAAGGAGTATCTTTGTGGAATTCTCTGTATTTCCTGAATCGGAATGTTGGCCTGCCTCGCTAGATTGGGGAAGTTCTCCTGGATAATATCCTGCAGAGTGTTTTCCAACTTGGTTCCATTCTCCCGGTCACTTTCAGGTACACCAATCAGATGTAGATTTGGTCTTTTCACGTAGTCCTATATTTCTTGGAGGCTTTTTTTCTTTTTCTCGTTTCTTTTTATTCTTTTTTTCTCTAAACTTCCCTTCTCACTTCATTTCATTCATTTCATCTTCCATCACTGATACCCTTTCTTCCAGTTGATCGCATCGGCTCCTGAGGCTTCTGCATTCTTCACGTAGTTCTCGAGCCTTGGCTTTCAGCTCCATCAGCTCCTTTAAAGCACTTCTCTGTATTGCTTATTCTAGTTATACATTCGTCTAAATTTTTTTCAAAGTTTTCAACTTCTTTGCCTTTGGTTTGAATTTCCTCCTGTAGCTTGGAGTAGTTTGATCATCTGAAGCCTTCTCTCAACTTGTCAAAGTCATTCTCCATCCAGCTTTGTTCCGTTGCTGGTGAGGAGCTGCGTTCCTTTGGAGGAGGAGAGGTGCTCTGCTTTTTAGAGTTTCCAGTTTTTCTGCTCTGTTTTTTTCCCCATCTTTGTGGTTTTATATACTTTTGGTCTTTGATGATGGTGATGTACAGATGGGTTTTTGGTGTGGATGTCCTTTCTGTTTGTTAGTTTTCCTTCTAACAGACGGGACCCTCAGCTGCAGGTATGTTAGAGTTTGCTAGAGGTCTACTCCAGACCCTGTTTGCTTGGGTACCAGCAGTGGTGGCTGCAGAACAGCGGATTTTTGTGTACCGCGAATGCTGCTGTCTGATCGTTCTTCTGGAAGTTTTGTCTCAGAGGAGTACCCGGCCTTGTGAGGTGTCAGTCTGCCCCTACTGCGGGGTGCCTCCCAGTTAGGCTGCTCGGGGGTCAGGGGTCAGGGACCCACTTGAGGAGGCAGTCTGCCCATTCTCAGATCTTCAGCTGTGTGCTGGGAGAACCAATGCTCTCTTCAAAGCTGTCAGACAGGGACATTTAAGTCTATACAGGTTACTGCTGTCTTTTTGTTTGTCTGTGACCTGCCCCCAGAGGTGGAGCCTACAGAGGCAGGTGGCCTCCTTGAGCTGTGGTGGGCTCCACCCAGTTGGAGCTTCCCGGCTGCTTTGTTTACCTAAGTGAGCCTGGGCAATGGCCGGTGCCCCTCCCTCAGCCTCGCTGCCGCCTTGCAGTTTGATCTCAGACTGCTGTGGTAGCAATCAGCGAGACTCCATGGGTGTAGGACCCTCTGAGCCATGTGCGGGATATAATCTCCTGGTGCGCCATATTTTAAGCCTGTCAGAAAAGCTCAGTATTGGGGTGGGAGTGACCCGATTTTCCTGGTGCCGTCTGTCACCCCTTTCTTTGACTAGGAAAGGGAACTCCCTGACCCCTTGCACTTCCCGAGTAAGGCAATGCCTCACCCTGCTTTGGCTCGTGCATGGTGTCCTGCACCCACTGTCCTGCACCCACTGTCTGGCACTCCCTAGTGAGATGAACCCGGTACCTCAGATGGAAATGCAGAAATCACCCGTCTTCTGTGTCGCTCACGCTGGGAGCTGTAGACCAGAGCTGTTCCTATTCGGCCATCTTGGCTCCCCCCTCCAGAGTATAATTTGAAGTCAGGTAATGTGATGCCTCTAGCTTTGTTCTCTTCGCTAAATGATCAGGGAAAACTGGATGTCCATATGCAGAAGAATGACACTAGACCCCTTTGTCTCACCATGTACAAAAGTCAAATCAAAATGAATTAAATACAAATCTAACATCAGAAACTATGAAACTACTAGAAGAAAACACTAGGGAAATGCTCCAGAGTGTTGGTTTGGGCAAAGATTTTTTATGTAAGAATTCAGAAGCACAGACAACCAAAGCAAAAGGGGACAAATGGGATTATATCAAGCTAAAAAGCTCTGCACAGCAAAGGAAACAATCTACAGTAAACAGACAACCCACAGATTGGGGAAAATATTTGCAATCTGTTTATCTAACAAGATATTAATAACCAGAATATATAAGGAGCTCAAACAACTCAATAGGGAGAAAAACAAATATGATTAAGAAATGGTCAAAAGATGTAAATAGACATTTCTCTAAAGGAGGCATACAAATGGCCAACAGGCATATGAAAAAATGCTCAACATCACTAATCATCAGAAAAACACAAATGAAAGCCACAATGATATATCTTCTCACCCTTGTTAGAATAGCTATTATCAGAAAGACCAAAAATAACAGATGCTGGTGAAGACATGGAGAGAGGGAAATCTTTGTACTTGTGGGAATGTAAATTAGTCAGCCACTATGGGGAAGAGTATAGAGATTCCTGAAAAAATTGAAAATAGAACCACCATATGATTCAACAATCCTGTTGCTGGAAACCTATCCAAAAAAATGAAATCACTATATTGAAGAGATACCTGCACTCTGATGTTTGTTGCGGCACTCTACGTAATAGCCAAGTTACGGAATTAACCTAAGTATCCATCAGTGGATGAATAACAGATAAATAAAATGTGGTTCCTATACATAATGCAATATTATTCAGCCATATAAAAGAATGAAATTCTGTAATTTGCAGCAATGTGGATGGAACTGGAGGACATTATATTATGTGAAATAAACCAGGCACAGAAAGACAAATATCACATGTTCTCAATCACATGTGGGAGTTATGCAAAAAATTAACTCGTGGAGATGGAGAGTAGAATGATCATTACCACTGGCAAGAAAGAGTAGTGTGTGGGTGGGGGAAAGTGGGGATGGTTAATGGGTACAAAAATACAGTTAGATAGAAGCAATAAGATAACACAATTCAAGGAGTTCCCTCATTTGCTCTTGTCACTAGTGTTATCTTATTCCTTCTATCTAACTGTATTTTTGTACCCATTAACCATCCCCTCTTTTTTCATTTTTTATTTTACTTTAAGTTCTGGGATACATGTGCAGAATGTGCAGGTTTGTTACATAGGTATACATGTGCCGTGGTGGTTTGCTGCACCTATCAACTGGTCATGTAGGTTTCAAGCCCTGCATGCATTAGGTATTTGTCCTGATGCTCTCCCTCCCCTTGCCTCCCACCCCCTAACAGGCCCTGGTATGTGATGTCCCCTCTCTGTGTCCATGTGTTCTCATTGTTCAGCTCCCACTGGTGAGTGAGAGCATGTGGTATTAACCACTCCTCTTTTAACTCCTCCCACCCACACAATATAGGAGCACTATAGCTAACAATATATTTATTGTATATTGAAAATAACTAAAATAATGTAATTGGAATCTTCCTAACAAAGAAATGATAAATGCTTGAGGTAATGGATATGTCAATTACCCTGAGTTGATCATTATACGTTGTACTCTTATATCAAAACATAATATGCACATATATATATATACAAGTGTTATGTACCCATAATAATGTAAATTTTTTAAAAATTCTGTTCTCCTTGATCAAACACCCTCAAAATTTAATTCAAGGAGTTCCCCCATTTGCTCTTGTAAGTATATGACAACAAGTTTTGCAAATTTTTGAGTATAGTCTGTTTCCTCCATTATCAGCCCTAGCATATCACCAGCTGGGTTATGCTTGGATTTAACCTTAATTAGTGACCTGGCAAGCAGAAAAGGAGATGGGTACAGCTTCTAGGGGCAGGTACCTGTTACCTTATGAGGAGAACCTAATCTTCCTGACCAGTAGAAGCACTAGCTCTCACTAAGAAGGATGACATTCCTTTGCAAACCTGAGACTCCATGGGCAACCAGCAGTTTGAATAGCCAGCATTCTCAGGGCCATCCACTCAGATTTCCCTGTCCTATTTTTTCAAGACCATAGATTTTCCCCGCCAGCGCCCTCATGTTCATATAACAAATCTGTCTTAGCTAAGCATTCAAGCATTTCTGGAGCTCTGTGCCTCTGACAATAATCTTCAGCCTATCACTTAATTGTGTTTACCCTTCCATTACAGGTGATAAGGGCCTCTTTATAAGGTACAACTGAGACTCTCTGATTCACACACTTAACTATAAAGTCCTTGTTAACAACCCTCCATCTCTCATTGTTCTTCTAAAGGACATCTCACTCTGATTTGTAGACACTGTTTCCCACCTGTTTTTTAGATGTCAAAATTATTACACCTGCCATGGCAGTTTCTCCACCAGGACATTTTCCCAGGTCACCATTGGCAAAATCTTCAGCAATTGAGCCACCATATTGTGCCAAGTACTACCCATCCCCCACATACTAACCAGGATGGTATCTTCTTCACCTGCCTGGTAGTGGATTAACCAGTCCCAAATCCTTGTCTTACTGCTCATTTGCTATGATCACTCATTGCCACTTGCTAGTTCATTCAAGAAGGTAACCCAAGATGGGATTAAACATGCAAGTATTATAGTAGATACCTCTGTGAGACAAAATGGAGAGGGGACCTGGTAAGGCTAGGGGCACCTTTAGACCACAGCGTGAGTGAAAGACAGAGGGAGGGCCGGGCCTGGTGGCTCATACCTGTAACCCCAGAACTTTAGGAGGTCAAGGTGGGCAAATATCTTGAGCTCAGGAGTTCGAGATCAGCCTGGGCAACATGGCGAAATCCTGTCTTTACAAAAAAATACAAAAAAACTAGCTGGACATAATGGCACATGTCCGCAGTACCAGCTACTGAGGGGACTAAGGTGGGAAGATCACCTGAGCTCAGGAGGTGGAGGCTGTAGTGAGCTGTGATCATGCCACGGCACTCCCACCTGGGTGACAGAGTGAGATTCTGTCTCAAAAAACAAACAAACAAAAAGACAGGGAGAGAAATGCCCTTGACAATGATGCTGCTCAGGAATTCCTCTAGCTAAAGCCGGCTATTAGAGGAGTCCCATGTCTCCCAGGAATGGGTTTCACTTAATATCCCTGCTGTGCTCCATCACTGGCTGAGAGCAGCTGGAGGGATCAGTGCAAATGCCACAGTAGATTTCATAGCACAACAGCTGGGGCCCTCAGTTAGTTGTTTTATCCATATCCATAAAGGGAGGTACACAATGCACATGCTCATGGCTTCTACACAGAGGTAAGCATTTACTTCTAAAGTCGTTTTCCTTTCTCCTTCCATTTTCTTCCTTCTTTATTTTAATTTGTGAACTTAGGAATTGTTTTTGGATTATTTTCCCTAATGTAAATAAGTGGAAACAGCAAGGAATTCCCAGTCTGAAGGACCTGGGTTATATTACTACTATACTATAGCATGACTTTAGGACAAGTTAGATGAAATCTCTTCTTTGCACTTTCCTAAATAGCCAAGTTGCAAGCTTGTGTTGAGAATGAATGAAACTAGGTTTATAACTGGACATAATGTTACACAAACATTTATTTGTTTATTAGTTTTCTTCTTTTTCTGTTTTCCCAATTTGATGCACCTTCCACTAGAATGAAAGATCCATAGTCTGAAGGGCATTTCTGAATTGTTCACTGCTATGTCCACCAGCACAAAAACAATATCTGACACATAGTAGCCACCTAAACAATATTTGTTGAGTGGATGAATTAACTTGTTTAGCTCAGTATTTAAGATATAGTACGTCTTTAATATGTGAAATTTCTTGTTTCCCCTTAATGTGAACAAGTACATTTTTACTGTATATTACATTGCCTCATATGTAAAGCCAAGAATCACTTCACTGGTTGAAAACAATTTCAGGAAAATAGGGAGAGAAAACTTCATAATGGCCAAAAATTTAGCAGAGATGTGAAAATCATTTCAAATTTTATTTTATTTTAGGGGTTATCTTAAGTTTTAATCATTTTATAATTTCAGACTACAACTGAACATTTTTATTATTGACAATGTTTTATTTCAAATACATATTTTTAACTTGCTCTACCAATCTAACAAATATTTTACTATATTCTAGGTACTGTGCTAGACTATAAACTTGCACATATAGAAGTAAAGTTGACTCTTTATTAAATAGTAAACTAGAAAAAGACAAGTCATTATTAGAATTCCATTCTTGACACAGAACTCTCCTCTATTTGATACAAGTGTATGTTATTGTGCCTGGCCTGCCAGCATGCCCAAGGCCCTGGTTTTTCAAAGGATTGTGAACTTTCTTTCAGTAGTATATCAGGACTTAAAAGTATATCTTAGCAATAGTAAACAAGTTCCTATCAAGTGTGTGCTCTTATATAGAGTTTTGGCAGAAAGAAAATCAGGCTAGCATTGTAGATTGTGAAACCCACTGAGCAAGGACCATGTCTAATTCTGTGTTCAGTACTTGATTTTCAAATGAAAGAAAAATGAAACAATTTCATTTCTGACTATTGGAGTTTTTCATTTGAAGAAAAATAAGGTTTTCACCAGAGCTTAGTAGAAGACTACACAATAGGAGTGTGGGACTTATTTTAAAACTTGTAAGTTTTGTGTAATAACTATTTATTTCTGTTTCCTGATGTTTTAACAAGTTTAATATCTTCCCTGAATAATATGACAAATGTTATCAAAAATTTTATTCATCTTAAAAATAAGTAATAAACAAATGTGCTTTTGAATTGAGAACACTGACTTTATTAATTTAAACCCTGATTGGAGCTTATTTAAAAATAAATAATGTGGCCGGGCACGGTGGCTCACGCCTGTAATCCTAGCACTTTGGGAGGCCGAGGCGGGTGGATCACGAGGTCAAGAGATCGAGACTATCCTGGCCAACATGGTGAAACCCCGTCTCTACTAAAAATACAAAAAATTAGCTGGGCATGGTAGCGGGTGCCTGTAGTCCCAGCTACTCGGGAGGCTGAGGCAGGAGAATGGCGTGAACCCGGGAGGCGGAGCTTGCAGTGAGCCAAGATTGCGCCACTGCACTCCAGCCTGGGTGACAGAGCGAGACTCCGTCTCAAAAAAAAAATTAAAAAAATAAAATTAAATTAAGAAAATAATAATAATGTTTTTGTTTCTAATACTTTACTAAGTAATAGTGTGTATATAAGTAAATCTATATGATTTTCCCATTGCTGGAGCCTTTTTCTCAGGATAACACATTTTTATAAACTAAATATTTTAAGCATAGTTTTAAAAAATATGCTTAAGATGTCAACATTTTATTGAGTTGCATTCCATTGTACATATATGTAATTATTTATCCATTCAATTATTGATAGACATTAAGTCGTTTCAATTATGTCTATTATAAATGTTATGCTTCTATTCAGCTGCCGTTGTTATTCATATACATGTCTTTTTGTGGACATACGTTTTCATTCCTCTTAAATAAATATCTAGGTATAGAATTGCTGAGTCATGTGGCAAGTGTATGTGTAACTTTATTAAAAATTCCAAACTGTTTGCTGAAGTGACTAAGCCATCTCATATTCCCACTGGCAATGCACTCGAGTTCCTATGTTTCCCCATCAACACTTGATTTCATACATCTTTTAGTTTTCAGCCATTCTAAAGTGTATATAATGGCATCCCAGACTGACACATGCAACAACATGGGTAGATCTCAAAAACTTTAAGCTGAGTGAAATACATCAGGTACAAAAAAGAGTATATTCTATGTGATTCCATTAATGTGAAATTCTAGAAGGCAAATCTAATCTATATTGACAGAAAGCAGATCAGTAGTTGTTTGATGCCAGGAATAGGACTAAGGATTACCTGCAAAGCAGCACAAAGCTAGGGCACTTTTAGGGATCATGGAAATATTCTGCATTTTTATTGGAATTGTGGTTGCATTCATGTATATATTTGTCAGAATTCATCAAACTGTACACTTAAAATTGGTGCATTTAATTGTATGTAGATTATACATCAGTAAAATTCATATAATACGAAACATATCAAATTTACTTTTGAATATTAACATAAAGTCTTAATCATATCTGCTTGCCATGCTTAGGAATACAAAGCATTTTAATAATATGAAAGAAGGGTACAAGCAATCCACAAAATCAAGCATTGTTTCTTCCAGGGAGGCATATCTGTAAAAGCCTCTGAATATCTTTCATTCTTTCAGACTCAGTCAAGTTCTTACACCTAGAGAGTAAAATTCTGATCAGATGGCCAGTTGGGTCAGGTTCTGATATTGCTAGCTTACCAAAATCTGAATATCTGTTAATGATAATTAAATTAATACATGTTCTTTGTCGAAAGCAATGCAGGGGAAGAGAGCATTCATCATTCTAATACCTAAAGGCAACTACTATTGTTATTTTGGAGTATTTCTTTATTTTTAATGCATTTTTAACATTTCAGATAATATGGTAAGTGCTATTTTCTAAGTACATTTTCACTCAATATTAGATCATTAGCATTTTTCCAAGTCTTTAAACATTCCATAAACATCATTTTAATAGCTCATCATATGCCTGTACCATCATTAACTATCACTCTTTCAATGGCATTTCATTTTTTTTTTTTTCCAAACAGCAGATACATTGCCTGGACCATTGAAAATTCTCCAAAAATTTTGTTGAATGAATGAATGAGTTATAAATATTGTGAAGAACATCTTTGTGCCACAATCTGTATTTTTTGAGAAACTTTAAGATAAATTCGCAGAAATAGAATGTCTGTGGCAAACACATAAAAAATGTTAAAGGCACTTGATTCACTTGAGGAAAGCTTTTATCTTGGGAAAAAAGAAAAATTATACTGTACATGGGGCTTCAAAAGTTATCTAAGGCACATTTTAAAATATTTAAAAAGAGTTATAGTTCATTTTAAACTGTTTCTTTCACTGGTGTATTAGTATGTGCAATTAAAGGCAAAACCCTGGCCCTTTTCTTTTTTCTTTATAAAAATAACCTCATGGTGGTCCCATCACTAAGAGCATCTTGGTTTCATAGTGCATCCTATCCCTCTGCATCGCTTTTCATGTAATTTCTGAATTCAAGAATTTTTTTTTCTTGATTATGGCATCTCCCATGATATTTTGCCATCACTGCCTTCTTTTCTCTAGTTTGGTCTTTTTGTAAATTTGCTGCCACTCTGACTCTTATTGAGCAGCAGATACCATGAAAACACAGAACTGCTCTGTGGTGATTGATGGTAGTGGAAGAGTTCACACTCTTTACTTGGTGCTCTGCTCTGTAGAAATCTTCCTTGGCTCATTTTCCCAATGAAGCATCAATCATGAGCCTGCTATTTCTTTTTGTATTGGTTTCTTTTTGTATGTATTTCTCTAAGTCAGAATGTCTTATTGCCCAGAGAGGCAGGTGTTGGGCTTTTCTGAACACATTTGAGGTCTTCCAATTCAAGCTGGCTATTAAAGATGGGAGTACTGCCTGATGATCTGGGTCCATGGCCAGAGAATTATCCAATGCTGGCCTTTGTACTCCAGGCTGTTCCGATTCTATTTTAGCCCTTAATATGTGGGGAGGGGCTCTTTATCTTGTGGCAATATTATGGAACTGGAGAAGAGATTTTCTTACCATATTGCTGCTAGCACATGAATGCTTAGAATTCTTTTGCTTTCTTTATGGCATTTTTCTAGTTTCTCCATTTCCAATTCTCTTCTTTATTCATAGTTTTGGGGCAGTTGCTTGACATAAAAATATTGTGATTTATTTTCAAACTACTGCTTTCCTGGGAGAGAAGCCACTTTTTTTGAGAAGGCACTTTTTAAATACTAATTAGAGATTTAAATTATGTCATGCACCTTACGTAAGCCGCGTGCAGGCCCTAAATTCATATCTATATGACCAAAATAACAAAAATAGCATGTTATCTTGTAGTTTAGCCATCATAAGAACTAAATCCATATGCCATATTCACAGCCTGGTTGGGTGTTGCAAAGAGGATTCTGAAAAAAGTAAATAAAAAGATTGGAGCAACTCAAATCATCCAGTGACAGCATCTCAATATTTCATATACGTTTTAACTTAGGAAGGAATATTTATTCTTTAACTTCCTTTAGATAGAGTTCAGTAACTTTCTGTGTTATTGACCTTTAAAGTTTTTATGCAGATTTTTAAAGCCAATGAGAAAAAACTGCTTCACTGGTTCCTTCTGGGATATGTATCAAAATTGAGGTACGAAATTCTGAATGCTTTTTCAGAAACCCAATTTAAAGCTTTTTAGACTAGTCAATACTGCTCTTCAAATTTAAAAATGCTTTTCTCCTCATTACAAGTGAGGTGAGAGATTACATATAAATGGTTAGTCAAAAGCATGGCAAAACTCCCCTGGCAACTGCCCATTTCCTTGACTCCATTACTATGCACTTCTTGAGGGCATATCAGGAGTAGTGGCTGAGCAAGGATCAAGGGTTCCGGGAAAACAGGTGTCACTCAGACCGTTTTACTTGACAGTCATGAGGATCGAGGTCACTGACCCAGTGGAAGGACGAACAGGCCCAACAACAGTGGCAAGTTGTACATTTTACATTCTTTGCCCTCCTCTTTACATGTTTTCTTTATGATTCACACCAAATCTTTCCTTTTTCGATAATATGGGTAATGTTATTTTGGGGGCCTTAAAAGGACTCAAGTTAAAAGTTACTTGTAGAATTTTGAAATTCAAGACAGGATAAAAAGTAATTTGGGGCCATTGTTTGGGTGATTTGATGATAAATTCTGACTTCTGCCAGGAAATATAAATAAAATGCACCATACAGATGAATTAGAGAAAATGAAATGTCTTTTTTGGTTCAGTGTGCTTTGACTCAGTGGACACAGTGTTTTATTTTTTCATTTAACATCTCTTTTATTTTTCTCTTTTCATTTTCTTCTGATTTATATGGCTCCACTTCTCTCTCTCACTCTCTTAATCTTTTATAATCTGGCGCACACACACACACACACACACACACACACACACACACTTCTCTTTTTGAATAATAGACAAGGTTTTGTGAAATATTTTGAGAGTATGTTCTAAGGGATGAAAGTTGAGCACATTTTTCAGATATTTCTTGAAAAATAGCTGTAAGTCATCTATTTGGTGCCTACCACAGAAAATTAAAATATTCCTGCTTTTTTCTATATTTTAAAATTCCCTTTAAAGTAGCAATCCTCTGTAAAGATGCCATCAGGAAGCATTAAGTGACATTAAATAATTCTGTAAAATATCATAAAGAGTAGATTTTTCACTAGATAATCCTAATAATATTTTACAGCTTATGTGGCCTGCAACCTCCTAATACTCTAGAATATTTATGAAGACAACTGGGAATTAATTTACTAAGTATTGAGTTTAAAATCACTAGAGCATATTCCATTACTAGAGTAGTATCAGTACAAGTGATAAAAATTGAAAGAGTGTTTCAATATGCAAATGACAGTTAAAAGAAATATCACCATGTACTGTGATGGAATGGTAATAATATGAATGAATATCTATTGGTATAATCTAGCAATTTTAAAAGTCTGTTTTGGTAAACAGAATAGACACATTTAATCCACATCTGTCAGATTCAGACTTGAACAAGTAAAGGAAAAACTAAAGGCAATCATTTTACTCTTTTTATATTTATAAGTAAATGTTACATGGATCAATTTGTAAGCTTCTTTTTTAATAAGATAAGATACACCAATTGTTTCTTATAAAACAGGCTTTTCTTCAACATTTGACATTTAGTTCGTACTTTTTTTTTGTTTTATTTTTTAGGCTCAATTTTCCTACATAATTAAGAGTTTGGAATTCGGGCAATATCAAGAACCACATCTGTCCTGAAATCAATTATCTCTGTTTGGTAAGTAGGGGAGAAAATACTTGATAAATATTTCTTATCTGCAACAAATTCTCATGTTCATGTTTTATCTTTGATCTTGTTGAAGACTCTGCAGAAAATTTCTAAGCAACACTTGATTGTTTTGCCCACACTGCTCTGTATTTTGGCCACAGGTTGGAGACTTACTTACTTTTACGAATATAAATATAATCTCCTCTACTCAAAACCAAGCAGTCTGATTTTCTGCCATTCATTTTTACCTTTTCATTTTTACTTTTATTTTAGGTTTGGGTGTATGTGTGAAGGTTTGTTACATAGGTAAACGTGTCATGGGGGTTTGTTGTGCATATTATTTCATCACTCAAGTATTGAGCCCAATACCGGATAGTCATCTTTTCTGCTCCTCTCCCTCCTTCCACCCTTTCCACCCTTCCACCCTTCCCCCTCAGGAAGACCCAGCGTCTGATGTTTCCTTCTTTGTGTTCATAAGTTCTTATCATTTAATTCCTACTTATAAGTGAAAACATGCGGTATTTGATTTTTCTGATCCTGCATTAGTTTGCTAAGGATAATAGCCTCCAGCTCCATCCATGTTCCCATGAAAGACATGATCTCATTCTTTTTTTATGGCTGCATAGTATTCCATGGTATATACATACCACATTTTGATTATACAATCTGCCTTTGATAGGTATTAGGTTGATTCTGCTGTTGTGAAGAGTGCTTCAGTGAACATTTGTGTGCATGTGTCTTTATGGTAGAATAATTTCCATTCTTCTGGGTATATACCCAGTAATGGGATTGCTGGATCAAATAGTAGTTCTGCTTTTAGCTCTTTGAGGAATTGCTGTACCGTTTTCTACAATGGTTGAACTAATTTGCACTCTCACCAACAGTGTATAACTTTCCTTTTTCTCTGTAACCTCACTGGCATTTGTTTTTTTTTTTTTTTTTTGAGTGTTTACTAATAGCCATTCTGACTGGTGTGAGATGGTATCTCATTATGATTTTGATGTGCATTTCTCTAATAATCCGTAGTGTTGAGCTTTTTCACATATGCTTTTTGACGGCATGTATGTCTTCTTTTGAAAAGTATCTGTTCATGTCCTTTGTCCACTTTTTATTGGGGTTGTTCTTTTTTTTTTTTTTACTTCTTGTAAATTTGTTTAAGTTCCTTATAGATGCTGGATATTAGACCATTGTCAGATATATAGTTTGCAAATTTTTTTCCCATTCTGTAGGTTGTCTGTTTACTCTGATAGTTTCTTTTTTGCTCTGTGAAATCTCTTAAGTTTAATTAGATCCCACTTGTCAATTTTTGCTTTTTTTTTGCTACTGTTTTTGGTGCTTTGTCATGAAATCTTTGCCCATTCTTATGTCCAGGATGGTATTGCTTAGGTTGTCTTCTAGGGTTTTATAGTTTTGGGTTTTACATTTAAGTTTTCAATTCATCTTGAGTTGATTCTTGTGTATTATGTAAGGAAGAGGTCCAGTTTAATCTTCTACATATGGCTAGCCAGTTATCCCAGCACCATTTATTGAATAGGGATCCTTTTCCCTATTGCTTGTTTTTGTCATATTTGTCAAAGGCCAGATGGTTGTAGTGTATGGTCTTATTTCTGGGTTCTCTATTCTGTTCCATTGGTCAGGGTGTCTGTTTTTGTACCAGTACCATGCTGTTTTAGTTACTGTAGCCCTGTAGTATAGTTTGAAGCCAGGTAGCATGATATCTCCAACTTTGTTCTTTTTGCTTGGCATTGCCTTGGATATTCGGGCTTTTTTTTTTTTTTTTTACTCTATATGAATTTTAAAATAGTTTTTTCTAGCTCTGCAAAGTGTCTGAA